>NC_000005.10:156367384-156670414 GCF_000001405.40 Homo sapiens | reverse complement strand
ATACCCCACACACTTTCCATAATAAATGACAGTGGCTGACATTTTAATCAAGTTAAAAACAATAATAAAATCACATTACTCTATTTGAGGAAGAAAATGGCCACAACTTAGGAATTTCGGGAAATAAACACGCTTGCCCATTCTGCTCTAAAAAGCTGAGAGATTATCATTTATTTTTAAAATGTCATGTCCGTCCTGACCACATGGATAAAAGCACAATTTTATACCCTCTCATTATGATTTTTATCTTTTTGGGTTTTTTCATATTTTAATCCTTTACATTAAAATTAATCTAGATGATATAATTTTAATTTTTAAGTAAAATCCACTTGTCTGGGAATGATGAGAATGATGTAGTCACATTGCCCCTCTCAAATTCAGGTGAAAACGGGCTGGTCGTGATGGGGACAATCACTGCACATCGCTAATAGCTCCAGCTTTCATAGATGGTCTAGTAATGTCTAGTCATGATTTTGAGAGTGGCTTGTGAAACGTTTTGGTACTCAAGACATTTCCCCCAATACCTACTTAAATTTAAAAGATTAAAAAAAATCTAGGACTGCTTTTGGGGAGGATGTTTAGAGCATCAGTTATGGATCACAGTTACAATCAATCCTGGTTCAAGGCCTACAGAGAAATGGAAATCATGAATAGCAGGTGCCTAACAATGGATTCTGAAAGTGTTTCATTTTTCCTTTGATCATATTTGTGCTTCCTACATGATACTGAGGAGAAGAATTATGGCCTTTAAAGCTCAATGAAGTCACATAAGATACTTTATGACTGGCATAATACCCTGTCTTGAAGGCTGGTCATTTGACAAATCATCTTTATCCATGCAAAGCAAACAGCATTTCCTTATTGTGCTTACCTGAATTACTTTTTCTTTCAAACTGCTTATCCTTATGGATTGTGGGGAAAAATTAAATTGAGTTTATTTTGTCAACCTCTCTGTGATCCAAAAGTTTACATTTATTCTTTAAGATAAATAACCAGTCTTTCAAATTTCCTTTCCTTCTTAAGGATATCATTATCAAGATAGAGGGGAGGGGGCTTATGTGACCTCCTGATGACAAGAATAAGGAAAATTCAGATTCCAGGAAATGTACGTTTAATCAGCATCTAGTGTCTGGCTAACAGGCTGTGCTGAAGTCTGCGGTGGATTTGGTGGTGGGATCTCTGGACCCACTCAGTGCCCACTGACGATCAGCTGCGAATGGTGTGGGTAGACCATGAGGTCTGGGTATGCCTCCCACTCCACCCACAAGCTGGACTATCTACTTTGAACTTTCGGCCGTATTGCAGGATGTCTCTCTAGAGGCCTTCACCACCAGTTGTCCATTAGCATTCCTTGACAGGACCCCATGTGGGCCATTTGACAAACCATTCACCCTTCCTCTAGGAGTTGAAGGAGATTCAAGAGTGCTGACCCAGGCCCTTTTTTCCGCTCCAGCCACTTAACAATCCAGCTGGTATGGGACCACCTTGCAATTGGCCTCCTCTTAGAGTCTCAATTGAAAATATGCAATGACCCTTTGCTTTCGACTTTCCTTAAGCCCTATCTAACTGGCTTCCCTCCTCCATGACTCAGAGGAGAGACATCATCAGGGCATACATTTCACCCCTTGCTTTTCCTATATGTCCCATCTTCTTCCTACACTCCACCAGATAACAGAAGAGATGGGCTTTCAACTTCTTCCTGCTTTCTGAATGAACTTCCCTATATCCTTGCCTCATTTTCCCCTTTGATGTTATTTGCTGTGTATCCTTCCCTGGTCTCTAATGGAAGAGCTATAATGTATAGAGAAGATGAATATACAACACATAGGTTTAATTTGTTCAAAATATAATTTCTGTCACATTTGTAAAAGAGTTTTAGATAAATATATCAAGGGAGAAGATGGAAATGGCTCAAATATTGAAGCATCACTGTTATTTTGCTCCATTTTTTTGCCTTCTACACTCTAAGAGAACTCCAGAACGAAAAGGCATCCTGGAGAAATACTGGGGATAAGGGAGAAAAATGAAATATGTAGTTAAATTCAAACTATAGTACGATACTAATAGGGAAAAGGGGAAGGAAGAATGTTGGGATACAAGAGGAAAGGAAAGAAAAGGAGAAAAGCTACATAAATATTTGGGTTAACTAGTCTTGAAAGAGAGACAACTGCATGTCAGTTTGAGGAATTCAAACAGGATGACCTTAAAATCAAGAGGATCATATCATGCCTTAGTCTGTGGCTCTTGGACCCTCCTGTTTTCTGGGCAGGTACTACACAACATGCAGTGAGGACAGTTGTGATGAAGTCACTTGGGTTTTGGGCAAAATGAAAAAATAGAGGCAACATAATGACACGTTAATATGTTCACATAGTTCAATGGATCTGATTTATGGAACTGTGTGTTATTCTAAGGTTACGTGAACTCTGTTAGTTGAAATATCCTTTCCTATGTGCATGTTGTTAATAGTAAATGTAAGCACAGTAGTTATTTTGTTCTTAATTGAAAGAGAATTTTTGGTTACCATGATTTGATACAAACTTTGTACTGGTTGATGACATTTTAAGCTCTCAGAATTCCTGTCTGAGTTCTTGAGCCCTGATGAAAGACAGCTGTTTGCCTTTTCCTCCAAAAAACTAATATTTGTTGAGGTTATGTTCAGAACTCGTCCTGTGTTCTAGGCATTAGGACTAGGAGAGCTTAAGAGACTTGCCCAAATTCACAAAGCGGATAGGCATTTAGGCCAAATTCAAACCCAGGGCAGGATGCCTTCAGAGTACAGACTACTGACCAACATGGATGCTGTTCACAATTCTACTTTGTAAGGCCCTTGAATAACTATGCTGTTATTTGGTCCGCTATAGTTTTCTACTTCTCCTGTAATCACTTCAGTATTTGTGCTTATGACCAAATAATTATTAATCCTATAAATGCAAAACAAAGCTAAAAACTTTAAGTACATGGATTGCTGGGGTGTGTGGGGAAAGGGAGAGAAGTAGAGAGGAAGACAATTACAGAACATGTTTGCAAACTGTTCAAAAGGGAGAAAATTTACGGATTTCTTCCACAATGGTATCAGTCATACTGCCCCACATACCAAGTACCTACAGCTAAGAAGCTCAATATACACTCCTCCTTGTGTCTGTCTGTCTCTCTGTCTCTTTGTATGTGTCTTTCTCACTTTCAATATATATGTTTATACAGAATGAGGATCCTTTATCTGAAATAAGGGACCAGAAGTGTTTTGAATTATGGATTTTTCCAGATTTTGAAATACCTGCATTACAGGTTGAGCACCCCAAATCTGAAAATCTGAAATTTGAAATGCTCCAATGAGTATTTCCTTTGAGCTTTATGTCAGTCCTCAAAAAGTTTTCAATTTTAGAGCATTTTGGATTTTGGATTTTTGGATTTGGGACACCCAACCTGCATGGTTTTTTAATTTTAATTTTTATTTATTATTAGTTTTTGAGACAAAGTCACTCTGTCACCCAGGCTGGGGTGCAGTGGCATGATCTCAACTCACTGCTGTGGGGAAAAGCAAGAGAGATCAAATTGTTACTGTGTCTGTGTAGAAAGAAGTAGACATAGGAGACTCCATTTTGTTATGTGCTAAGAAAAATTCTTCTGCCTTGAGATTCTGTTAATCTATGACCTTACCCCCAACCCCGTGCTCTCTGAAACGTGTGCTGTGTCAACTCAGGGTTGAATGGATTAAGGGCGGTGCAGGATGTGCTTTGTTAAACAGATGCTTGAAGGCAGCATGCTCCTTAAGAGTCATCACCACTCCCTAATCTCAAGTACCCAGGGACACAAAAACTGCGGAAGGCCGCAGGGACCTCTGCCTAGGAAAGCCAGGTATTGTCCAAGGTTTCTCCCCATGTGATAGTCTGAAATATGGCCTCGTGGGAAGGGAAAGACCTGACCGTCCCCCAGCCCGACACCTGTAAAGGGTCTGTGCTGAGGAGGATTAGTAAAAGAGGAAGGAATGCCTCTTGCAGTTGAGACAAGAGGAAGGCATCTGTCTCCTGCCTGTCCCTGGGCAATGGAATGTCTCGGTATAAAACCCGATTGTATGCTCCATCTACTGAGATAGGGAAAAACCGCCTTAGGGCTGGAGGTGGGACCTGCGGGCAGCAATACTGCTTTGTAAAGCATTGAGATGTTTATGTGTATGCATATCCAAAAGCACAGCACTTAATCCTTTACATTGTCTATGATGCCAAGACCTTTGTTCACGTGTTTGTCTGCTGACCCTCTCCCTACAATTGTCTTGTGACCCTGACACATCCCCCTCTTTGAGAAACACCCACAGATGATCAATAAATACTAAGGGAACTCAGAGGCTGGCGGGATCCTCCATATGCTGAACGCTGGTTCCCCGGGTCCCCTTATTTCTTTCTCTATACTTTGTCTCTGTGTCTTTTTCTTTTCCAAATCTCTCGTCCCACCTTACGAGAAACACCCACAGGTGTGTAGGGGCAACCCACCCCTACATCTGGTGCCCAACGTGGAGGCTTTTCTCTAGGGTGAAGGTACGCTCGAGCGTGGTCATTGAGGACAAGTCGACGAGAGATCCCGAGTACATCTACAGTCAGCCTTACGGTAAGCTTGCGCGCTCGGAAGAAGCTAGGGTGATAATGGGGCAAACTAAAAGTAAAATTAAAAGTAAATATGCCTCTTATCTCAGCTTTATTAAAATTCTTTTAAAAAGAGGGGGAGTTAAAGTATCTACAAAAAATCTAATCAAGCTATTTCAAATAATAGAACAATTTTGCCCATGGTTTCCAGAACAAGGAACTTTAGATCTAAAAGATTGGAAAAGAATTGGTAAGGAACTAAAACAAGCAGGTAGGAAGGGTAATATCATTCCACTTACAGTATGGAATGATTGGGCCATTATTAAAGCAGCTTTAGAACCATTTCAAACAGAAGAAGATAGCATTTCAGTTTCTGATGCCCCTGGAAGCTGTTTAATAGATTGTAATGAAAACACAAGGAAAAAATCCCAGAAAGAAACCGAAAGTTTACATTGCGAATATGTAGCAGAGCCGGTAATGGCTCAGTCAACGCAAAATGTTGACTATAATCAATTACAGGAGGTGATATATCCTGAAACGTTAAAATTAGAAGGAAAAGGTCCAGAATTAATGGGGCCATCAGAGTCTAAACCACGAGGCACAAGTCCTCTTCCAGCAGGTCAGGTGCCCGTAAGATTACAACCTCAAAAGCAGGTTAAAGAAAATAAGACCCAACCGCCAGTAGCCTATCAATACTGGCCGCCGGCTGAACTTCAGTATCGGCCACCCCCAGAAAGTCAGTATGGATATCCAGGAATGCCCCCAGCACCACAGGGCAGGGCGCCATACCATCAGCCGCCCACTAGGAGACTTAATCCTATGGCACCACCTAGTAGACAGGGTAGTGAATTACATGAAATTATTGATAAATCAAGAAAGGAAGGAGATACTGAGGCATGGCAATTCCCAGTAACGTTAGAACCGATGCCACCTGGAGAAGGAGCCCAAGAGGGAGAGCCTCCCACAGTTGAGGCCAGATACAAGTCTTTTTCGATAAAAATGCTAAAAGATATGAAAGAGGGAGTAAAACAGTATGGACCCAACTCCCCTTATATGAGGACATTATTAGATTCCATTGCTTATGGACATAGACTCATTCCTTATGATTGGGAGATTCTGGCAAAATCGTCTCTCTCACCCTCTCAATTTTTACAATTTAAGACTTGGTGGATTGATGGGGTACAAGAACAGGTCCGAAGAAATAGGGCTGCCAATCCTCCAGTTAACATAGATGCAGATCAACTATTAGGAATAGGTCAAAATTGGAGTACTATTAGTCAACAAGCATTAATGCAAAATGAGGCCATTGAGCAAGTTAGAGCTATCTGCCTTAGAGCCTGGGAAAAAATCCAAGACCCAGGAAGTACCTGCCCCTCATTTAATACAGTAAGACAAGGTTCAAAAGAGCCCTACCCTGATTTTGTGGCAAGGCTCCAAGATGTTGCTCAAAAGTCAATTGCCGATGAAAAAGCCGGTAAGGTCATAGTGGAGTTGATGGCATATGAAAACGCCAATCCTGAGTGTCAATCAGCCATTAAGCCATTAAAAGGAAAGGTTCCTGCAGGATCAGATGTAATCTCAGAATATGTAAAAGCCTGTGATGGAATCGGAGGAGCTATGCATAAAGCTATGCTTATGGCTCAAGCAATAACAGGAGTTGTTTTAGGAGGACAAGTTAGAACATTTGGAGGAAAATGTTATAATTGTGGTCAAATTGGTCACTTAAAAAAGAATTGCCCAGTCTTAAACAAACAGAATATAACTATTCAAGCAACTACAACAGGTAGAGAGCCACCTGACTTATGTCCAAGATGTAAAAAAGGAAAACATTGGGCTAGTCAATGTCGTTCTAAATTTGATAAAAATGGGCAACCATTGTCGGGAAACGAGCAAAGGGGCCAGCCTCAGGCCCCACAACAAACTGGGGCATTCCCAATTCAGCCATTTGTTCCTCAGGGTTTTCAGGGACAACAACCCCTACTGTCCCAAGTGTTTCAGGGAATAAGCCAGTTACCACAATACAACAATTGTCCCTCACCACAAGCGGCAGTGCAGCAGTAGATTTATGTACTATACAAGCAGTCTCTCTGCTTCCAGGGGAGCCCCCACAAAAAATCCCTACAGGGGTATATGGCCCACTGCCTGAGGGGACTGTAGGACTAATCTTGGGAAGATCAAGTCTAAATCTAAAAGGAGTTCAAATTCATACTAGTGTGGTTGATTCAGACTATAAAGGCGAAATTCAATTGGTTATTAGCTCTTCAATTCCTTGGAGTGCCAGTCCAAGAGACAGGATTGCTCAATTATTACTCCTGCCATATATTAAGGGTGGAAATAGTGAAATAAAAAGAATAGGAGGGCTTGTAAGCACTGATCCAACAGGAAAGGCTGCATATTGGGCAAGTCAGGTCTCAGAGAACAGACCTGTGTGTAAGGCCATTATTCAAGGAAAACAGTTTGAAGGGTTGGTAGACACTGGAGCAGATGTCTCTATCATTGCTTTAAATCAGTGGCCAAAAAATTGGCCTAAACAAAAGGCTGTTACAGGACTTGTCGGCATAGGCACAGCCTCAGAAGTGTATCAAAGTATGGAGATTTTACATTGCTTAGGGCCAGATAATCAAGAAAGTACTGTTCAGCCAATGATTACTTCAATTCCTCTTAATCTGTGGGGTCGAGATTTATTACAACAATGGGGTGCGGAAATCACCATGCCCGCTCCATTATATAGCCCCACGAGTCAAAAAATCATGACCAAGATGGGATATATACCAGGAAAGGGACTAGGGAAAAATGAAGATGGCATTAAAGTTCCAGTTGAGGCTAAAATAAATCAAGAAAGAGAAGGAATAGGGTATCCTTTTTAGGGGCGGTCACTGTAGAGCCTCCTAAACCCATACCACTAACTTGGAAAACAGAAAAACCGGTGTGGGTAAATCAGTGGCCGCTACCAAAACAAAAACTGGAGG
Source organism: Homo sapiens (assembly GCF_000001405.40). Lineage (NCBI taxonomy): Eukaryota > Metazoa > Chordata > Mammalia > Primates > Hominidae > Homo > Homo sapiens. The sequence continues at coordinate 156,662,865 of NC_000005.10, read as the reverse complement.
CTTTACATTTATTAGCAAATGAACAGTTAGAAAAGGGTCACATTGAGCCTTCGTTCTCACCTTGGAATTCTCCTGTGTTTGTAATTCAGAAGAAATCAGGCAAATGGCGTATGTTAACTGACTTAAGGGCTGTAAACGCCGTAATTCAACCCATGGGGCCTCTCCAACCCGGGTTGCCCTCTCCGGCCATGATCCCAAAAGATTGGCCTTTAATTATAATTGATCTAAAGGATTGCTTTTTTACCATCCCTCTGGCAGAGCAGGATTGTGAAAAATTTGCCTTTACTATACCAGCCATAAATAATAAAGAACCAGCCACCAGGTTTCAGTGGAAAGTGTTACCTCAGGGAATGCTTAATAGTCCAACTATTTGTCAGACTTTTGTAGGTCGAGCTCTTCAACCAGTGAGAGAAAAGTTTTCAGACTGTTATATTATTCATTATATTGATGATATTTTATGTGCTGCAGAAACGAAAGATAAATTAATTGACTGTTATACATTTCTGCAAGCAGAGGTTGCCAATGCTGGACTGGCAATAGCATCTGATAAGATCCAAACCTCTACTCCTTTTCATTATTTAGGGATGCAGATAGAAAATAGAAAAATTAAGCCACAAAAAATAGAAATAAGAAAAGACACATTAAAAACACTAAATGATTTTCAAAAATTACTAGGAGATATTAATTGGATTCGGCCAACTCTAGGCATTCCTACTTATGCCATGTCAAATTTGTTCTCTATCTTAAGAGGAGACTCAGACTTAAATAGTCAAAGAATATTAACCCCAGAGGCAACAAAAGAAATTAAATTAGTGGAAGAAAAAATTCAGTCAGCGCAAATAAATAGAATAGATCCCTTAGCCCCACTCCAACTTTTTATTTTTGCCACTGCACATTCTCCAACAGGCATCATTATTCAAAATACTGATCTTGTGGAGTGGTCATTCCTTCCTCACAGTACAGTTAAGACTTTTACATTGTACTTGGATCAAATAGCTACATTAATCGGTCAGACAAGATTACGAATAACAAAATTATGTGGAAATGACCCAGACAAAATAGTTGTCCCTTTAACCAAGGAACAAGTTAGACAAGCCTTTATCAATTCTGGTGCATGGCAGATTGGTCTTGCTAATTTTGTGGGACTTATTGATAATCATTACCCAAAAACAAAGATCTTCCAGTTCTTAAAATTGACTACTTGGATTCTACCTAAAATTACCAGACGTGAACCTTTAGAAAATGCTCTAACAGTATTTACTGATGGTTCCAGCAATGGAAAAGCAGCTTACACAGGGCCGAAAGAACGAGTAATCAAAACTCCATATCAATCGGCTCAAAGAGCAGAGTTGGTTGCAGTCATTACAGTGTTACAAGATTTTGACCAACCTATCAATATTATATCAGATTCTGCATATGTAGTACAGGCTACAAGGGATGTTGAGACAGCTCTAATTAAATATAGCATGGATGATCAGTTAAACCAGCTATTCAATTTATTACAACAAACTGTAAGAAAAAGAAATTTCCCATTTTATATTACTCATATTCGAGCACACACTAATTTACCAGGGCCTTTGACTAAAGCAAATGAACAAGCTGACTTACTGGTATCATCTGCACTCATAAAAGCACAAGAACTTCATGCTTTGACTCATGTAAATGCAGCAGGATTAAAAAACAAATTTGATGTCACATGGAAACAGGCAAAAGATATTGTACAACATTGCACCCAGTGTCAAGTCTTACACCTGCCCACTCAAGAGGCAGGAGTTAATCCCAGAGGTCTGTGTCCTAATGCATTATGGCAAATGGATGTCACGCATGTACCTTCATTTGGAAGATTATCATATGTTCATGTAACAGTTGATACTTATTCACATTTCATATGGGCAACTTGCCAAACAGGAGAAAGTACTTCCCATGTTAAAAAACATTTATTGTCTTGTTTTGCTGTAATGGGAGTTCCAGAAAAAATCAAAACTGACAATGGACCAGGATATTGTAGTAAAGCTTTCCAAAAATTCTTAAGTCAGTGGAAAATTTCACATACAACAGGAATTCCTTATAATTCCCAAGGACAGGCCATAGTTGAAAGAACTAATAGAACACTCAAAACTCAATTAGTTAAACAAAAAGAAGGGGGAGACAGTAAGGAGTGTACCACTCCTCAGATGCAACTTAATCTAGCACTCTATACTTTAAATTTTTTAAACATTTATAGAAATCAGACTACTACTTCTGCAGAACAACATCTTACTGGTAAAAAGAACAGCCCACATGAAGGAAAACTAATTTGGTGGAAAGATAATAAAAATAAGACATGGGAAATAGGGAAGGTGATAACGTGGGGGAGAGGTTTTGCTTGTGTTTCACCAGGAGAAAATCAGCTTCCTGTTTGGTTACCCACTAGACATTTGAAGTTCTACAATGAACCCATCGGAGATGCAAAGAAAAGGGCCTCCACGGAGATGGTAACACCAGTCACATGGATGGATAATCCTATAGAAGTATATGTTAATGATAGTGTATGGGTACCTGGCCCCATAGATGATCGCTGCCCTGCCAAACCTGAGGAAGAAGGGATGATGATAAATATTTCCATTGGGTATCGTTATCCTCCTATTTGCCTAGGGAGAGCACCAGGATGTTTAATGCCTGCAGTCCAAAATTGGTTGGTAGAAGTACCTACTGTCAGTCCCATCAGTAGATTCACTTATCACATGGTAAGCGGGATGTCACTCAGGCCACGGGTAAATTATTTACAAGACTTTTCTTATCAAAGATCATTAAAATTTAGACCTAAAGGGAAACCTTGCCCCAAGGAAATTCCCAAAGAATCAAAAAATACAGAAGTTTTAGTTTGGGAAGAATGTGTGGCCAATAGTGCGGTGATATTATAAAACAATGAATTTGGAACTATTATAGATTGGGCACCTCGAGGTCAATTCTACCACAATTGCTCAGGACAAACTCAGTCGTGTCCAAGTGCACAAGTGAGTCCAGCTGTTGATAGCGACTTAACAGAAAGTTTAGACAAACATAAGCATAAAAAATTGCAGTCTTTCTACCCTTGGGAATGGGGAGAAAAAGGAATCTCTACCCCAAGACCAAAAATAGTAAGTCCTGTTTCTGGTCCTGAACATCCAGAATTATGGAGGCTTACTGTGGCCTCACACCACATTAGAATTTGGTCTGGAAATCAAACTTTAGAAACAAGAGATTGTAAGCCATTTTATACTGTCGACCTAAATTCCAGTCTAACAGTTCCTTTACAAAGTTGCGTAAAGCCCCCTTATATGCTAGTTGTAGGAAATATAGTTATTAAACCAGACTCCCAGACTATAACCTGTGAAAATTGTAGATTGCTTACTTGCATTGATTCAACTTTTAATTGGCAACACCGTATTCTGCTGGTGAGAGCAAGAGAGGGCGTGTGGATCCCTGTGTCCATGGACCGACCGTGGGAGGCCTCACCATCCGTCCATATTTTGACTGAAGTATTAAAAGGTGTTTTAAATAGATCCAAAAGATTCATTTTTACTTTAATTGCAGTGATTATGGGATTAATTGCAGTCACAGCTACGGCTGCTGTAGCAGGAGTTGCATTGCACTCTTCTGTTCAGTCAGTAAACTTTGTTAATGATTGGCAAAAGAATTCTACAAGATTGTGGAATTCACAATCTAGTATTGATCAAAAATTGGCAAATCAAATTAATGATCTTAGACAAACTGTCATTTGGATGGGAGACAGACTCATGAGCTTAGAACATCGTTTCCAGTTACAATGTGACTGGAATACGTCAGATTTTTGTATTACACCCCAAATTTATAATGAGTCTGAGCATCACTGGGACATGGTTAGACGCCATCTACAGGGAAGAGAAGATAATCTCACTTTAGACATTTCCAAATTAAAAGAACAAATTTTCGAAGCATCAAAAGCCCATTTAAATTTGGTGCCAGGAACTGAGGCAATTGCAGGAGTTGCTGATGGCCTCGCAAATCTTAACCCTGTCACTTGGGTTAAGACCATTGGAAGTACTACGATTATAAATCTCATATTAATCCTTGTGTGCCTGTTTTGTCTGTTGTTAGTCTGCAGGTGTACCCAACAGCTCCGAAGAGACAGCGACCATCGAGAACGGGCCATGATGATGATGGCGGTTTTGTCGAAAAGAAAAGGGGGAAATGTGGGGAAAAGCAAGAGAGATCAAATTGTTACTGTGTCTGTGTAGAAAGAAGTAGACATAGGAGACTCCATTTTGTTATGTGCTAAGAAAAATTCTTCTGCCTTGAGATTCTGTTAATCTATGACCTTACCCCAAACCCCGTGCTCTCTGAAACGTGTGCTGTGTCAACTCAGGGTTGAATGGATTAAGGGCGGTGCAGGATGTGCTTTGTTAAACAGATGCTTGAAGGCAGCATGCTCCTTAAGAGTCATCACCACTCCCTAATCTCAAGTACCCAGGGACACAAAAACTGCGGAAGGCCGCAGGGACCTCTGCCTAGGAAAGCCAGGTATTGTCCAAGGTTTCTCCCCATGTGATAGTCTGAAATATGGCCTCGTGGGAAGGGAAAGACCTGACCGTCCCCCAGCCCGACACCTGTAAAGGGTCTGTGCTGAGGAGGATTAGTAAAAGAGGAAGGAATGCCTCTTGCAGTTGAGACAAGAGGAAGGCATCTGTCTCCTGCCTGTCCCTGGGCAATGGAATGTCTCGGTATAAAACCCGATTGTATGCTCCATCTACTGAGATAGGGAAAAACCGCCTTAGGGCTGGAGGTGGGACCTGCGGGCAGCAATACTGCTTTGTAAAGCATTGAGATGTTTATGTGTATGCATATCCAAAAGCACAGCACTTAATCCTTTACATTGTCTATGATGCCAAGACCTTTGTTCACGTGTTTGTCTGCTGACCCTCTCCCCACAATTGTCTTGTGACCCTGACACATCCCCCTCTTTGAGAAACACCCACAGATGATCAATAAATACTAAGGGAACTCAGAGGCTGGCGGGATCCTCCATATGCTGAACGCTGGTTCCCCGGGTCCCCTTATTTCTTTCTCTATACTTTGTCTCTGTGTCTTTTTCTTTTCCAAATCTCTCGTCCCACCTTACGAGAAACACCCACAGGTGTGTAGGGGCAACCCACCCCTACAACTGCAACCTCCGCCTCCTAGTTCAAGTGATTCTCCTGCCTCAGCCTCCCAACTAGCTGGGATTACCGGCATGCACCACCACACCCAGCTAATTTTTGTATTTTTAGTAGAGATGGGGTTTCACCATGGTGGCCAGGCTGATCTGGAACTCCTGAGCTCAGGTGATCCTCCTGCCTCAGCCTCCCAAAGTGCTGGGATCATAGGCATGAGCCACCCCACACCTGGCCTCAACCTGTATGTTTTTAATGAGAACACATGGACACAGGAAGGGGAACATCACACTCCGGGGACTACTGTGGGGTGGGGGGAGGGGGGAGGGATAGCATTAGGAGATATACCTAATGCTAAATGACCAGTTAATGGGTGCAGCACACCAACATGGCACATGTATACATATGTAACAAACCTGCACATTGTGCACATGTACCCTAAAACTTAATGTATAATAATAATAAAATAAAATAAAAGAGAGAGGAAAAAAAAAAAGTCAGACTATTTATCCAATATTTTGGTACTGTAACTGTCAGTGGTGTGCGGAGAATTACCAAGCCTCTAATTAATTCACCCCTAAGGCTCTAATAGACTGTTTTGATAGTTTAAATTTATAAATCACAGAAAGCCTATAAATATTTAGTTGGTTATAGACATCCTAACATAAAATTAAAGAAATAAATTCATTTTTGTCAACTTGTGCAAGCCTTGTCTAATCCTTGTTTCCCAATGATACACACAGACTTTAAATCTCACACATTCCCAAAGGAGTTCAGATTTACTATGTTTCTATTAAAACAAAACAAAACAACAACAACAAAAAGAAACCCTACAGGATGTTCAAGTGCATAATAGTGGGAGTAATAGATGTATCGTAGAATCTTTCTGCTTTGTCATTAAAACCTGGTAGCATTATGGGGAAAAATAAACAGTAACAGAGTAATACCTTATTTATTTCAAGCTCTTTTCAATAGATTTGAGATTAGTGAAATTTTTAGTTCTAAATTAAGTAGTGCACTGATTTTTAAAATTTGTAACAATCTTTAAAGTTTCCTGCAACCATATCTGAAATTGCCATCATACAATTTTTTAAAGAATACAATTGTTATGAGGAAAATTACATTACAAAAATCAATTTTTGTAAATACCCAGTAACATTTTGAGGAGTTACAGAAATATGTTGGGCTGTTTGCTCCCATGCTAAATGGCCCCAGAGAACCATTCCTTTTGAATTATAAGACCTATTTGTTGGTTTTTACCTTTTCTCTCTTCTCTCTTCTTTCAATCAAAACGCCATCTCCTTTGGGCAACTTTACCTAAACGCTTCTAAGTAGATTTTGTAATTCTCCATTATTCTCTGGCTTGGTTCATATCTCCATATTAATTATCACACGGTATTGTATTGGGCGGTGACATTTCTGTTGTATTCCCTTTAACTATCAATTATTTGAGTTTTCATTTTATCTCTGCATTCCAAGTGGGTTTTTAAAAATTACTTTATTTAAATAATTTTATGTAACGTAAGAGCACATCAGCATATTAGCTGACTGTGAACATGAAGAATTCTTTTATAAAGACATTTTGACTTGATATTTCATGGTTCCCTCCAAGCTTTGGGTAGTCTATATAACTTTCTCTCTTTTTTAACATTTGCCGTGGCATGTACCTGAGAAAGAAGATTTTACCGTCTACTTCCTATTCTCGTAGGATCAGAATCCTACAAGGAAACTTTACAGTTGAAAGGAATCTTTAGAGCAAGGAAGGCATTCAAAGGAAGCCTCTGTTCCTATGGAAAATACATATGCAAAACTGAATGGCCTATTTCCTGTTTCAGATCATGAACAGCCTGAGATCAGTGATTTTTCCATTTGTCTTTATATAGACTTCAGGAGGGAAAAAAAAACAGTGAATAAGTGAACATTTAAGATATTCATAGTTTAAGATCATGAATTTATTAAAATACGATTTCAATTCAAGATGAATTTTTCTTATTTCAAGGGATGGTTACAGTGCCTGGTATAATTTCAAGTATAGTCTGGAATCCAGAACAAAGTATCTTTACTTCAGAATTACCTTGCAAGAATAAAGTCAATAAACATTACTTGAGATGGATATTTGGCATAGACCTTTGTAACACTCATTATTTGTCTGGAGAAAAGCATTTTGTTTTTTTGAAAATTTGAGCTCAACTCTGGATTATTTACAAGCATCTTAACCAAAGACTGCAAATACAGTAAATATAGTAACTCTGAAAACAAACCAAAAAAAGGCAATGAACCAAAACTGTAGCAAAGAGGAAGCTACCTCTCCTTTAACTGACATCTTCTAGGAAGAAATGCCAGAGGCCTTAAATCTGGTTTTCGTTAACAAACAAGCAAACAACAACAAAATAAGAACAAACAGAAAACCTCTAGCAGCCAAGACAGAGGTTTGAGGAAAACAAATGTTACTCAATGGAGAAGCGTTTTGAAATAGATGTAATTTTCTCATGTTTGATTAGGTAAGGAACATGTATATTTAAGTTTCTGCTTGTCTATTTTAAAAGACAGTCTGTGTCTAAATAAGTTGTGGTCTTTTGAATCCATTTGTTTTCCATTATTGACAAGTAAGACCAAGAAAATCTGGGTATAGAATATTAAAGAAAAAAAACCCTCAAAAATAACATTCCAACTTAACTGCAGTGAGAATTTTAAAGATCTATAAATTCACCTCTTAACAAATAGCTTTTCTGTTAAAGTCCTTTTTACATATTTTTAAATCTATAAGTTATTCAGGTGATTTCATTCCTTGAAATAAATCTCATGTAAAGCATGATATTACAGGACTACAATGTTAATTTCTTAGTTGTGGTAACTATACCACAGATATGTAAGATGTTAACTTTGGAGAAAATTAGGTGAAGGCAGATGAGAATTATCTGTATAAATTTTATAACTCTTTTTTAACTTTAAAATTATTTTGAAACCAAGAGTCAAAATAATATAACAGGATTAGCTGTTTAGAGCTAGAAGTGCCCTGCCTTTTCACAGACAGCAGGGCTCCACAATTAGCTCAAGGCCACATAGGGATATTAGGACTCAGAAACTAATACCTCAAAATATGACACCCTGGCTTGCTATTTTAAATTTAAGGCCTTTGGAGACCAGCAGAGAGTCTGGAAGAAGCTATTTTCTGAAGTTCCCTTATCTGCCTAAAGTTTGGACCCCCCCAAAGGAAAGAAAAAAACAATTACCATTGGTTCCTTCCCTGAGTTTTTATTAATGACTCATACTGAAGGAAGAAAGACCTAAGTATGGCAACACACCTGGACCAATTTCTGTCACAAACCACTGTTTTCTGTTTCAGTCCCATTCAGTATTCCAAAGAGAATCATTTGGCAGACATTATCTGCTCTGCAGGCCCAACAAACTTTCTCCCAGACCATTCTATGTTCCCCAGGTCCATTTATTTTGCCCTAAAATCATTTACTACTCCACAAGTGCTACATTTTCCTCATCTCCCCTCCCCTGTGAAGAAAGGCATATAAGCATCTGTACCTCATTGGGTTATTGGGTAATTGTTCTCCTATAATCCCCTTGTGCTATACATATTAAAGTAAAATTTTTATTATGCCTTTTCTGCCATCAATCTGCCTGCTGTCAGTTGATTTTTAGTGAATCTGCAGATAGTGAAAGGGAAGCTTTCCCTTGGCCCCTACAGTGGGTTGGCATTAGGCGCCCAACTCTTAGCACAGTGCTCTTTTCCCTCCATTTTGCTACCACTGAAGAATGGACCACTTTTGCTTCACCTCAAGAGTCTGTCTAGCTCTGTTTGCTAGTACAAGTCCAGGAACCTCACTTAAATTACTCTATTTTCTTAAATCTAGAAGACATAGCAGTGTGAATGTGGCCAAGTAAGACTGGCCCAGTGCTAAAGTCAGAGACCAGAAGAGTCAGTCACCAAGTTCATTAACAATTTACACAATATCCAAGGTCAATAGCAATCAATAGCATGGAGTAATATGTGGCACCATGAAATGACAAATATAAAACATTCACAGACACACTGGTCTGGGCTAATCTATCAATAATTGGTCATCTTTTCAATTGGTCAGAGATACTCCTATAAAACACCATTTTAAAAAATTTCAAAAGGATGAAGGAGGTAGATTATGACATTCTAGGTCCCTGACTCAGTCCGGGCTACCACAGTTTGAACAACAGGGGCAAAAAAAAAAAAAAAGCAAGCTTTAGAATTACGTAAGAAAATATTTTTATGTTTTCATGACAAAGGTGACATTACAAGCTACCCCACAGAAATACAAAAGATCCTCAAAGACTATTATGAACACCTCTATGCACACAAACTAGGAAATCTAGAGGAAATGGATAAATTCATGGAAATACACAACCTCCCAAGGTTGAATCAGGAAGAAGTTGAAACCCCGAAAAGAATGAATATCAAGTTCTGAAACTGAATCAGTAATAAAAACCTATTAACAAAAAAAGCCCCAGGCCAGATGGATTCACAGCCAAATTCTACCAGATGTACAAAGAAGAGCTGTTACCAATTCTACTGAAATTATTCCAAAAAACCGAGGAGGAAGGACTCCTCCTTAATTTGTTCTAGGAAGCCAGCATCACCCGAATATCAAAACCTCACAAAGACAAAACAAAAAAGAAATCTGCAGGTTAATATCCCTGATGAACACACATGCAAAAATCCTCAAAAAAATACTAGCAGACAAAATCCCACAGCACATCAAAAAGTTAATTTACCATGATTAAATAGCCTTTATTCCTGGGATGCAAGGATAGTTCAACATATGCAAATCAATAAATGTGATCCATCGTATAAACAGAATGAAAAACAAAAACCATATGATCATCTCAAGAGATATAGAAAAAGCATTCAATAAAATCCAACATCCCTGTATGAGAAAAACCCTCAAAAAAAACCCAAAAAACTAGGCATCAAAAGAACATACCCCCCAAATATAAGAGCCATCTGTGACAAACACACAGCCAACATCATACTGAATGGGCAAAAGCTGGAAACATTCCCCTCAAGAAGTGGAATGAGGCAAGGATGCCTACTTTTATCACTTCTATTCAACACAGTACTGAAGTCTTTGCCGCAGCAATCAGGCAAGAGAAATAAATAAAAAGAAAAGAAGTCAAATTATCTCTCTTGGTTAACAATATGATTCTGTGTATGTGTGTGTGTATGTGTGTATATGAGAGAGAGAAAGATAGGGTCCTGCTCTGCCACCAGGCTAGAGAGCAGTGGTGTGATCACAGCTAACTGCAACCTCAAATTCCTGGGCTCAAGCCATCCTCATGCCTTAGCATCCCAAGCAGCTGGGACTGTAGACATGCATCACTACCACATCTGGCTATTAACTTTTTTTTTCTTTTGGTAGAGACAGGGTTTCACTATGTTGTCCAGGCTTGTCTCAGACTCCTGGGCTCAAGTGATCCTCCAGCCTTGGCCTCCCAAAACATTGGGATTACAGGTGTAAGCCACCACACCCAGTCCAACAATATGATTCTATAGCTAGAAAACCCTAAAGACTCTACCAAAAGGCTCCTAGGACTGAAATGACTTCAATAAAGATAAATAAAATCATTGTACAAAAATCAATAGCATTTCTATACACGAGTAATATTCATGCTGAGAGCCAAATCAAGAAAGCAACCCCACACAAAAAATAAAATAACTAGGAATACATCTAACCAAGGAAGAAGAAGATCTCTACAAGGAGAACTATAAAACACAACTGAAACAAATCATAGTTGACACAACAAATGGGAAAACATTCCATGCTCATGGAATCAATCAATGAAAGAATCAATATTGTTAAAATGGTCTTACTGCCCAATGTAATCTAAAAACTACCAATGTTATTTTTTCACAGAATTAGAAAAAAAAAATTCTAAAATTCATATGGAACCAAAAAAGAGCCCAAAGCAATCCTAAGCAAAAAGAAAAACTCCAGAGCTATCACATTACTCAGCTTCAAAGTGTACTTTAAGGCTACAGTAACTAAAACAGCATGGGATTCATAGAGAAATAGACATGTAGACCAATGGAACAGAATAGAGAAACCAGAAATAGTCTCATACCTATAGCTATTTAATCTTTGACAAAGTCAACAAAAATAAGCATGTGGAAAGGATTCCCTATTCAATAAATGGTGCTGGGATATCTGGCTAATCACATGCAGAAGAATAAAACTGGACTCCTACCTTTCCCTATATTTAAGAATTAACTAAAGATGGATTAAATATTTAAATAGAAGACCTCAAACTATAAGAATTCTAGATGAAAACCTCAGAAATACTATTCTGGACATAGGCCTTGGGAAAGAGTTTATGACTAAGTCCTCAAAAGCAATTGCATCAAAACCAAAATTGACAAGAGGGACCTCCTTAAACTAAAGAGGTTCTGCACAGCAAAAGAAACTATCAACAGGATAAACAGTCTACAAAATGGAAGAAAATATTATCAAACTATGCACCCAACAAAGGTCTAATATCTGACAAAGATATGTTATCTATAAGGAACTTAATTCAACAAGCAAAAAACAACCCCATTAAAAAGTGGGCAAAAGAAATAAAAGGACACTTCTCAAAAGAAGGCATACACATGGCCAAAAAACATGAAAAATGCTGCACACCACAAATCAAAATCACAATGAGATACTATCTCACATCAGTCAGAATGACTATTATTAAAAAGTCAAGAAACAACAGATGTTGGTGAGACTGTGGAGTAAAGGAACACTTATACACCGCTGGTGGGAATGTAAATTAGTTCAGCCATTATTTGGAGATGTCTCAAAGAACTGACAACGCAATTACTAACTGACCGAGCAATCCCATTACTGGGTATATACCCAAAGGGAAATAAATTGTTCTATCAAAATGACATAGGCACTTGTATATTCATTGCAATATACAACACTAAGACACAAAAATCAACCTAGGTATCTGTCAATGATGGATTGGAGAAAGAAAATGTGGTACATATATACCATAGAACACTACAAAGCCATAAAAAACTAACAAAATCATGTCCTCTGCAGCAACATGAATATAACTGAAGGCCATTATCTTAAGTTAACACAGGAACAGAAAACCAAATACTGCACATTTTCACTAATAAGTGGGAGCTGAGCACTGGATACACATGAATATGAAGATGGGAACAAAAGACACTGAGGGACTAGTAGATGAGGAGAGAGAAAAGACAAAGGGCTGAAAAACTACCTATTGGGTATTACTCTTACTACCTGGGTGACGGATCATTCGTACTCCAAACCTCAGCATCATGCAACATACTCATGTAACAAACCTGCGTGTGTATCCCTGAATCTAAAATGAAAGTTGAAATTATTAAAAAAAATTCATGCTTTCTAGCCTCTGTGGGACATACCTATAACTTTTGAAGAAGCACAGTAAATAAACCAACTACACAAAGTATTTATTTATTTTGTTGCACTGGACTTAGGAGATTTACTTGTAAATTGTGGAGGTTTAACTTTTTAAAGGTAAGTTTCAGGGTTGTTTATAAGTTGTGTAACAAACACTACGATTATGTCTCAGCATAACATGTGCAAATACTCTGCTCCATGTTCTTCAGGCTATGCATCTCTAGAGTGGGCTAATGCTTGGAGAGTTGTCTTTTTGTTTCATTGGTTTGGGTTGGGTTTGTTTTTAAGTACAGAAGATTTACTTTACCGCTTAAAGCCAAGACAGCCTATCTCCTTTCCTCTTATATTTCCCAAATCTCCCAGGTAATGAAAAGCTTTGTTCCATAGAAAAAATATCTGTACTGTATTTAGAGTCCTGCTTTTTAAAAAAAAAATTATTATTATACTTCAAATTTTAGGGTACATGTGCACAACGTGCAGGTTTGTTACATATGTATACATGTGCCATGTTGGTGTGCTGCACCCATTAACTCGTCATTTAACATTAGGTATATCTCCTAATGCTATCCCTCCCCTCTCCCCCCACCCCACAACAGGCCCCCGTGTGTGATGTTCCCCTTCCTGTGTCCATGTGATCTCATTGTTCAATTCCCACCTATGAGTGAGAACATGCGGTGTTTGGTTTTTTGACCTTGTGATAGTTTGCTGAGAATGATGGTTTCCAGTTTCATCCATGTCCCTACAAAGGACATGAACTCATCATTTTTTATGGCTGCATAGTATTCCATGGTGTATATGTACCACATTTTCTTAATCCAGTCTATCATTGTTGGACATTTGGCTTGGTTCCAAGTCTTTGCTATTATGAATAGTGCTGCAATAAATATATGTGTGCATGTGTCTTTATAGCAGCATGATTTATAATCCTTTGGGTATATACCCAGTAATGGGATGGCTGGGTCAAATGGTATTTCCAGTTCTAGATCCCTGAGGAATCGCCACACTGACTTCCACAATGGTTGAAATAGCTTACAATCCCACCAACACTGTAAAAGTGTTCCTATTTCTCCACATCCTCTCCAGCATCTGTTGTTCCCTGACTTTTTAATGATCGCCACTCTAACTGGTGTGAGATGGTATCTCATTGTGGTTTTGATTTGCATTTCTCTGATGGCCAGTGATGATGAGCACTTTTTCATGTGTCTTCTGGCTGCATAAATGTCTTCTTTTGAGAATTATCTGTTCATATCCTTCGCCCATTTGTTGATGGGAGTCCTGCTTCTTTTAGACAGCACTTTTTCTTGGGGCTAATCATCACTAATTACTGACTAGTTCTGTAAGAAACGTGCTTCTACAGAGGACTGTGAAAAGAATGGGAACCAGGCCACTGATTAGCTTGTCTCAAAAGACCTCTTCCATCACAGACACGAAGGTTCACTGCACTCTCAGGCAATAACTCTTTCTCATAGAGTCCTAAAAAGCAGGTTTTCTCAGACGTATTTGCTTAAAAGATTCTAGCTTCAGTACCTTATATGAAACATAGGAACTAGCTAACAGAAAATCAGGTAAGTTCAGGCATGTGGAAGCTCTGCTGAAGATAGTTATGCTAGTAAAAAGTAGAACCTTGTGGTGTGATGTGTAATCTTAAAAATACAGCCCACTCTATGTGGGATTTTGTTATGAAAAGATTCTCATTCTCCACCAACTATCCTCTTCCTTTGGCCCAATTTATTTCCTTACAGCCATCCAGACTTATAGGCTTTGCAAAAAATGCTATGGGTTTTATAATGAGGTGATACATTTTCCACTTACTGAGAATGTGCTTCTGTTAAAAGAAACACTAGGTCCAATATGGCTCTTGCTTTTTAAGCAAAGCATAGATCTTCAGATTGCATCAGGAAAGAGTAGATATGATTTGTGCAATGCAAGTACATGTGCCTATGGTTGGTGTCTATCATGAAACAGTTATTCAGTGCCATATATGGCGATTTATGATTGCTTTTAGGTAAAAGAACTACCAGAAATGAAAAAAAAAAGCCAGTATTCACTGAATTCATCACAGTTATGATGAATAACTTGAAGCAATAGAAAGAATAGTTCTATTTGTTTCAACGTACCATTTTAAATACATTTTGGCGGGAGGGACAGGGGCATGGTTGTTTGGTGGCTGGAATGGTTTTCAGGCTCTCTGTCTGTTTATCCATCTGTCTGTTCTTTTGTGTTTTCCTTAGTTGCTGGTGGTGAGTACATAGCATCTCAGAGTCATCCTCTGCTAAGGCAGCACATTTATGAATATTTGAAGATTAACATCAGCACCTGGAACATCTGCAGAAGGGGGTTCTTTCTAGTACCATACCACCCCAAGTAATAGAGAGCTTGTTGCATAATAAGACATCGTATTGTATTTAGACTTCATCTTCTTTTAGATATCATTTTTCTTTGGGCTGATCAGCACCAATTACCAACTAGTTCTCTAACTGGATAGGTTTTGGGTACCACAAAATACAGCACATAACAAACATTCCAAATGAATGAATCTAGATTTCACAAAGTGGGCAACCTTTTACCCCATCCAGATCCTCAATTTTAAGTTCTCATAGAAAATTTTCTTTTGGTTGTAGCTTATCTTCTGGTTCTCTCCAACCTCTTTCAATTTATGTATTCACGCTGTGACACTTATTATTTATTCAGAATGAATCACTGGCCAGTTGCACAGAGCAAGGCAATAGCCATTAATCAATGCAAACCAAAGTCAGAAGTTTACCTTAGTTCTTTGAAGGGGTCTGCCCTGACATTAGGTGTTTCTATAGATTTAGGGAACACTGTGCCCTCCGCTCCTGTAAACAAAACAGAAAAGCAAACAGAGATTGGAGATACTGGAGTCACCTGTAGGCACAATCAGCACACTGATTGGAGCTAAATGCAGCGAATCCATTACACAACCCCATACCCACATATTTTTCCACTGGCTTTAGAGCTCCATGATAGGAAAGCATTGAATCACTCATGCAAACAGCCTTTGAAAAACAAGGAACTTCTTTTGAAAGCATTCTTGCTGAGATCAGAGTGAGGCCATGAGGCAAATTCCATCTCGGCTTCAGAAAGGAAAAGATGCCTAGAAATGGTAAGGTCTGACTCTTGTCTCTCAGAAACTATTAATAGTCACCCAACCGGAAATGTTTTGAAAAACAGCAACCAAAGCTCTCTTATTGCAATGCATGGCACAAATCACATAACACATATGACATCTACGCAGTGGGTTAGATGGTAGAACAGTGAAGTATTTGCCTAATGACTAGCAAAAGTTTTTCAGTAAATAAAGTTCTACATTATTATCTTGAAAAGTTAAGCAAAATAGAACACTATAAGAGATCATTTGAAGTTCAGAGCTTTTACACTTTGAGTATTAACATTGATCCCAAACCCAATCTAGACATTTAGCTCTTGACTGTGCTATAAGCTTTTATCTTTACAACTTGTCAACACCAGTCGAAATTTGCAGCCATAAAGATAGCAATTATCTGATTTGTCTGCTCCCAAAGTGTTTTCAAATCATTTAAGCCTCAGTTTTTCACAGACAATTGCACAAGATATTAGTTTTTCAATTAAACTTAGCTGAGGCAGTATCCTGTACTTTGAAGTAAAGGTGTTTCTTTTTTATACATTTGGTGCACTTTGATGCTGTAAGGAGGGGAGAATATCTTACTTCCATGTGTGAATTTTTGTAATCCTCTTACATTGTTATAACATCTAGAAATGCTCCATTATATTCAACAAAGAACATGCTTTTGAATGGTGTGGTGTTCTGTCATCCAGATCTTAAGCTCTGTGTAGGCAGGGACAAGGTCTTATATGGGATATAGCCAGGTTGACTTTAGGTTCCGAAGGCTTCTACTAGACTCATTTCCAAATGGTACTGATGCTTCTATGGGAGTATTAAATTATTGCTTTCTCAATGCCAGGCTAAGCTGGTGCCCACTGAATGGCAAGCCAGCAAAATCTAGGGAGATAGGTTCTGACAGGCAGCGGTGGCAAATGATTGACAGGCTTTGGATGTAGAAAGGAAGTGAAGAACAAGATGCTCATGCTCCCTCAACTCCCACTCACTCAGCTCCCATTGTCCAACCAAATACCCTTTGATTATGTTCTTGCTGGGCTTTGGCCAGTGGGGGTCCATATGTTCCACATACTGGAGGACAAACTCATTGATAAGACTTCTTAGGGGAAGATTTCAAAGCCACTCATTAGCTGAGTGACCTTGGGCATGAAGTTCAACTTCTGTGATATTCAGTTTCCCTCTCTCAAAAGAAAGTGTGTTGATAGTACCTTTATCTCCCAGGAATCTTGGAAGGCTGAATGAGATCTCTGGCACAAAGCAACCAGCAGTAATATTATATAATGTTTATGATTCTTATTCATCCTTCTTATCCAGATCTTCCATGACTTTTTCAAAAATAACATTTTTAAAGCATTTTCTATGAACTAGAAACAGTACTGGATATTCTAGTTTTTCATTTGATCACCAGAATAACCCTATGAAGTGGAGACTATTAGTATCTTTGAGGCTCAGGGAAGTCAGGAAATTTTTCCTATGGTCACACAACTAGGTGGAAGTGGGAGGGGTGACTGAGTAAGGGGTCGGAGGGGTGGGATTTGAACTCTAATCTTTCTGTTCTAAAACTGATGCCTTTGATCACTCCTCTAGACTATCTCCCTTAGCAGATTAAGTCCCTCCTTTACATGCTCATCTTTTTATGAGCTATGAGCAAATATCAATGTTTATACCATCAAGTAATGCTTGCTAAATCCTCAATCACCTTTCTTCTCAAAACAATTCACATCTATAATGAGATGAGATATTAATACTCTTCAAAAAGGCCATTTCTTTCCAAGTGCTATCAGGTTTCTGATTTTCACACCATTGTTTACTTTCCCAGAAGCTCCAGAGTAGACAAACATCCTTCAGGATGAATTTCCCCATCCCATCCTCTCTCTGTTTTCTCAGATAATGAATTATTCTCAATTTTATTATTTCAAAAAGGTTTCTATTAAAACCATACCTACTGATTCCCTCTTTTGACACAATATAATTTACTGGCAATAAATGTTCATAAACAGTTTGAGTGAAAAATCCATAAAGCCATTTCAGCTTTATTTTAAGTTCAATTTAATGTCTCTCAAAAATGATTTCATCAATGTGTTTCCATTAGCTGGTTCTCTGCCCAATAACTTAATTCCATAGAATCAATCAGGAACTTATAAAGCATGTGACAGGATCTATCTAAAGTGTTCTGAATCACCATAAAGATGAGCTCAAGGGCTCTTTTCCCTCCTAGCACAGGTAGGGAGTAAACTTGTAAAAAAAAAAAAAAAATCTCAAATGCACTCCACTGCCATAAGTAATAAAAAACCAGCTTCTCCTCTCCAGAAAGGATATTCAAGTCCAGATCTCAGTTTTGTCATACTTTTGACTCAAAGTGTCCCAGATGTCAAGAGACCTGAAATCTAGTCCTATCTCTATGCTCTTAGGCAAGTCAGATAAAAATCTCTGGTTTTGGATTTCCCCAATTATTAAATGAGGGATAAGCATCAGAGTTAAACTGTTAACCCCAAATCTAAAATTTTATGAGGTGTACAATCTTATCTAAGCAGATAACTGCCTTTAGCAACCTCTTTTTTCTAATGAGAAGAAAAAATAATCCTGTACTATGAAAGGAAATTGCGAAACATTTTCTCAGTGTTTAAGGAAAAAAAAAAAGGAACAGACTTTTATCCAATTTAAACTGCATTTAATAGGTAGAAATAATAACCAGAAAATAAATCTCGTAATAGATAAAATGGCAGAGAGCAAAAATGAAACTTAACTAAAACATCAAAGCCCTAAAAACGCGTAATTCTTTAAAACTCCAAAGACTGACCTGAGAAAATTAAATTTTATGAAAAATGACTAATTACCTAAAACTATATACATGTTAAAATTGCTGTGGACTAAATACTGAAAGAAAAATACAGATTTGCAAAATGTGACACACAAAAATTGGATTTGGGAGAAACACTAGACACAAAAATTACTAGGACAGCAAATAGCATCCGTGAAATTTGATAAAGAAAATTTATGATGAATCACTTCTTGTACATGAAGAACTGATCTCAAAAGTAAGAATTTCAAGAAGCGTTCTTTTAAAAATCAGAAATTACTTAAGTGTACTCTTTAGAAAATTGTTTAAGAATTTAAACTAGCTTAACAGAGTTTGCTTTGGTAAATTTTTTCCTGATGAACATGATTAATATTGATATAATTATGATTAGTGCTTTTGTATTAATGAATATGAACTAAAAATCATCGTTGGGTTTAAACCTTGGGGCAAAATGTTCAATAGATTCAAAAGGCAGAGTTAAAATATCTGATGAATAAGGTTTGAGGTAAAAACGTCAGTTTTCTACTTCACATTGCTTGGGTATATATAACCTGAATGATAACTTTAATAACAATGATATTTTACTTGACAAGATAAGGATATAGTTTTATACCCATATTAGATTATAAAATGGAGAAAGGAAGTCAATCTAGAGAATGGTGATAAGAAAATGGAAGAAAAATAATTTTGTTTCTTGAAACACCCAAATACTGAGAAACCAAAAACCTGATTTTCGGTTCTAATTTTGCAGATGCATTGCATGGCCTTTGACAATTTTCCCTTTAGTATTATTTCTCCATTTGGGTGGATTACATAATCTTTAAGGTTTCTTCCGCTCCTGTTATTTTATTATTTTCTAGATATAACTGATCAGATAAACTCTGTGTACCAGAAGAGGAGCACAGTATGTTGGTGAACCCAAAGTTCAATTAACTTAATAAATCTGTATCAAGCAGGAGGCTGTAGTGGTGAAGCAAAGAGGTAAGAAGCTCACGGTATAATATAGTATCCTCCACTAGTGTACACTAATTGGTTTAAACAACTAGTAATTGGCTGGGCGAGGTGGCTCACACCTGTAATCCCAGCATTTTGGAAGGCCAAGGTGGGCGGATCACCTGAGGTCAGGAGTTCGAAACCAGCCTGACCAACATGGAGAAATCCCATCTCTACTGAAAATACAAAATTAGCCGGGCGTGGTGGTGCATTCCTGTAATCCCAGCTACTCGGGAGGCTGAGGCAGGAGAATCCCTTGAACTCGGGAGGTGGAGGTTGCAGTGAGCCAAGATCACACCTTTGCACTCCAGCCTGGGCAACAAGGGTGAAACTCCGTTTCAAAAAAAAACAAACAAAAAAAAAAACAAAAAACCCCCCAAAAAACCTAGTAATTAATCTCAGAAATGAAAATATATAGTAGTGATAAAGAAAAGAAACATGTCTTTGAAAGTATAAAACTTGAAGTCACAACCTGGTTTGGCAGATAAGTTTCCTAAAGAAGTGAAGTTTTGCTGATATTTGAAAAATAATTAGAACTGAAGTAGTCAAGAGCTGAATGTAGCAGTAGAAAAGACTATGGAAACGCTTCACAGTTGGGAAATTCCCATTAATAAAGAAGACTGGGCCAGGCGCAGTGGCTCACACCTGTAATCCCATTACTTTGGGAGGCTGAGGCAGGCGGATCATGACGTCAGGAGTTTGAGACCACCCTGGCCAACATGATGAAACCTTGTCGCTACTAAAAATACAAAAATTAGCCAGGTGTGGTGGCATGAGCCTGTAATCTCAACTACTTGGGAGGCTGAGGCAGGAGAATTGCTTGAACCCGGGAGTTGGAATTGCAGGGAGTCGAGATCCCATCACTGCCCTCTAGCCTGGGAGACAGAACAAGACTCCGTCTTGGAAAAAAAAAAAAAAAAAAAAAAAAGACTGATGCTGCTAGGCCATTCTTAGCAAAAGATGAATATCATGTGGTGAGACTAGAGAGAAAGTTTGGCTCAGGGATTGCAGAGCCTCAGAGGCCACAGTGAAGGTTTTAAGCAGGGGATCTGACTTGATCAACCTGGCATTTTCCAAAGATCACTGTAGCTGCATGTTATGGATTACTTGTTTGTGTCCCCCCAAAATTCAGATGTTGAAACCCTAGCCATCAATGTGATGGTATTAGGAGGTGGGGCGTTTGGGAAATAATTAGGTTTAGATGAGGTCATCAGGGTAGAGTGCCCATGATGGGATTAGCATCCTCAGAAGAAGAGAAAAAGACTAGTGCTCTTTCTCCACCATGTGAAGATACAGTAAGATGATGGATGTCTGCAAGCCAACATGAAGGACCCCACCAAACCTGACCATGCTGACACCCTGATCTCAGACTCCCCAGCCTCCAGAACTGTAAAAAATAAATTTCTGTTTTTTAAGGCATCCAGTCTGTAGTATCTGCTATAGCAGCCCAGAATGACTGAGACATTATGTCATGGAAAAGACACTTAAGGAAGGCAAGGGTGAATAAAGAGAAGCCAGGAGAGAGATGGTGGTAGATGGGATCATATGATTGGTAGTAAGCATAGAGAAGAGTGGATGGCTGAGGAAATATTTAAGAGAAAAACTAATGGGATCTGGTGATGTGCTGGACAAGCAGACTGAAGGATGATCACAGGGCCCACGGGAGGAGATGAAATAGACAGTCAAAGCCAAGTGATTAATGCTCAAAGCCAGCCATGCCCATTAAAACTTTATACTCCACAAATAATATCCAGCTTTTTTAGTATTTGATATTTAAGTCACAATAGAAATTGCCTTTACTTAATAAAGGAAGCTGCTCTGAATCCAACTATATTTTTCTTAGGAAGGAGCAAGAACCATGACAATGAAAGTTTAATCTCCCATGATATTTACCAGGAATATTTTTGAAAAATTATGAATAAACTAATAATTCTTTGAGTAATGAACACTATCTTCTGTGCAAGATAATTTTCTGGTTACTCCAAAGTTTTAGCTAAAGGTATCTTCATGTAGCTCCCACTGTTTAAAGATTTCCAACATATGTGAGATATAGTTTTTGTCTCTGTAAGTCCAGGCTAGTAAACATGGCTACAATCTGATATTTAAATACTCTTTAATATCTGAGACCCATTTTCCTACAAACCAGTCTTCTCTACAGCACATATGTTAGTTGTAGAAGAGTGAGTTATGGGACAACTAACCACAGGAAATGCCTTAGAAACAGAGATTTTTGTATTTAATTCCTAACATGAATTTGTGGCCTTCTCCTAAAAGTAATAGGCAGTGAAAAATTCTTTTTAAGGAAATGAGTTGCGTTATGTTTAACCAAAGATTTAAAATGAACTGAGTGATCAACGAGGATGCAGAGTTTCCACAAGTGTCAGGATTAAGCACAGGGAAGGTGGCTGTCAGCTTCTGAAAATCTTCCCAGACATGAACAATACACAGATGCTAGAAAGTAACTTTCAGTAGAAATAGTCACTTGAGGTGATTTAATCCCATTGTGTCTCCCCAGGCTGCTGCTGGCATTTAATAAACTTCTAATGCAAAACATCTGTAGTCATTACAAATAGTTTCTAGGATACATACCAAATATTTTCTTTTTAGGAATCAGGACAGATTCTTCTTATCCAAAAAGTACAGATAAAATTAATTCATTCAACAAATATTTATGTAGAGCCTACGTCAGACATGATTTTGTGGGGGAAAATAGGCTCTGGCTTTCTTATTTAGGAATTGCAAGTTAAGAAAAAAATTTAAAAATGCACATAAAATCTACAGCCATTCTGCCTGTTGTAATATTTGTTGTCTATAAATAGTTAACAAGTACCTATTATGTGAATGGCACAATGCTGAGGCAATGTTCAGTAAGAAGATAATCTTTGCTCTTAATAAGTTTTATTGTAGCAACACAGGTGGATATTGCAAAAAATATTTAAATCCATTTTTAAAAATAACAGATATTGTAAATCATGCATTTTCAATGGGGGTGATGTTATCTTCAAGGGGGCAAAAACTGGTTCTTGGGAAGCAAAAGAAATCTTACTGTATTTATGTATAAAGCACAAATGTATATATATATCTAGAGATGTATAGCAATATATAGATATATAAACAGCTATATAAATGCACACTTCACATAGTACATAAACGGATATCTAGTATATCTATGATAGTAAGATTTCATGGGAGGGGTGTGATTAAGAAAAAGAAAAAAGCCTGAAGAAAAATTCCTCAGAAGAGCACTATTGGAAAAAGGACTGAGAAACTGTTGTAAATGCTATGAAGTAGTACAAGAAGCTGATGGAACACTGAGCAGAGGGGCTAGCCTAGCATCAGAGGACCTGCGAAGGCTTTGCTGGGGAAGTGCTATTACTGGGAGTCACTGGCAGGTAGATAAGTGTGGACACTAAGAGAAGGGTGATATGATCCAAGCAATGGTTAGAGTAATGTAAAAGTAAAAGGAGAGCCAATGTCAGAATTTTAAGGGACTCCAACATTTAAATTTTGAGTATGGAAGGATGAGCCATCAAAGGAAAATGAAAAAAAAAACATGAGAATAGAGGTAGAAAGAAGACCAGGAATGGGGTAACACAGAAGCCAAGAGAAAGAAGTATGTATTTCAAGAAGGAGGGAACAGTTTATCTGTGTTAAACAGTGCTGGAAATTAAGGAGAGGAATAGAAAAGTCTACTGAATTTGGCAACATGGAAGACACATCTCAAGAGACATTCTATCAAAAGCTGAAGGCAGACTGTTGTGGGCACAAGAATAGGCAAAAGGTGAAGAAATGAATATAGCAAGAGTTACAACCTTTTGACAAGAGAAATACCATGAGGTAGCTGGGTATTGGATATTGGGTACCAGATACCGAAGGCCTAGCGGTGGTTAGTAACCACACTTTTATATAGGCACCAGCCTGCTGCGTGGCACAGGCTGCACAGAGGTGCATGTGTTCAGTTGCCTGAACACAGGCATACATAATGTGGATGTTTGGGTTCATCTAGGCTGGGAATTTTGACACATGTGAATGCTGAAAACAGAGTGTTAAAGTTCAGGGTTCTCCATGAAGACTGTGAAGAGGAATATGATACTGGACAAGTTAATTTGCTTCTTCTAGCTTCAGTTTCCTTATTTGTGAAATGGGAATAATAGTAGTACTTCTCTCATAAACCTATTGTGAGGATTAGTGACTATATATGTGTGTATATACACACACATACATATACACATACACATATACACATATGTATATATGAGATATATTACATATATATTAAAGTGTAATATATCATAAAATGCTATACATGTCTGGCATATCAAAATAGATGGTAGATATATTTTATTATGATAAAAGATAGTGATGAAGACAAGAATAGACAGTAAAGCCAGAAAGATAAATGAGTATCATTCAATAATTTGAAGGTTAACAATGGAGAATGATAAAATAAGACATTCTCTTTTGAAAACTCTAACAATTTAACTGAACTGGCAATACCATCAAAGTACACATTTTAAACATTGTGTAGAATTTGAAACTGCAGGGCAATTTAAGATTCACGTATAAAAACATCCTGGCAAGATATGAAGAGACAAGTAGTTTAATTAAGCAAACTCTACTCTGGAAACCAATAGACCGGAACTCATGCTCAGTGTATCATTAAGCCAAAACTTGAAAAAAAACAAAAGGAACCATCCAAGCAGCAAGCAACTTCATTTCAGTTTCTTATGAGTACATCGTTTTTGATAGTAAATAAAACTGCACAGTATAACAAACAATTTCAACTCACTGGTTGTGTTTAACACTAATGGAAAATTCTGGAACAAGGCAGCCTCTAGGTAAGGATAGTATAGGCAAACAAAGCATCAGCGATAAGCTGAGAAGGCTGCTTGACATCATCATGAGAGAGCCGTGCTCAAGGGTGACCCCCTGGTTCTCAAAGATGATGCACTGTGTGTCCTAAGAATGAGGTGAATGTGGCTCTCCATCCATATCTCCCCTCCAGACCTCAGTGGGACAGGTGGCCAGAATCAGGCCAGTAGTGTAGAGGGAGAGGGAGAGAATAAATATGAACAATGTGATCAAGTTAAAAAGAACATTGATTCTGCCTGCCCTTCCACCTGGGAGTGAGGGTGAGATGGGAGCCATGATACGCTGTGTCCTCAGTGGAGATTTCAGTTCTCAAGTGTCTCTCACAGTGTGACAGCAATCAAGACTCACATGGTCAATGGATACCAGTGAGATGTAAAATAAAAAAAAAAAAAGTGTATGATTTTAAGAATTTCCTGGTCTTTGAAAAAGTAGAACACGCTGTTCCTGTGGCCAGGCAAGTGGGTGGTGATGCCTTCCTATGGTGAAAGAAATTGAAACATTAATTGAGGACCACAGAGAAACACTGTCTAAAAAATAATTGGAGAAACTTACAAAATCATTTACGAGAGATGAAGATGATGATGACCTGAAAATTAAGAACCAGCAAGTAGAAATCTGGACAAAGAATTGAAGGTTTCAAAGCATTAAAACACTTAAATGATTTAATTTCGGAATACAGTCCTGTTACGAAAGCTTTAAAATGAGCATGCTTTATAGGTGATTTATAGATAATTTTGATTATGTAATTTTTTACCTTGTCCACTGACTTCATCCCCAGTATGGCCAGCATGTCATTTCCTTGTCAACAACCATTTCCCCCTTTCCCCTGGCCAAGAAAATCCTAGTATTATTTATGGGAGCAAAATGTCCAGCTAAATACTTTCCCAGACTCCCTTGAAGCTAGGGGTGGACATATGACATGACTTTGTTCAAAGAGATGTAGGTAGCTGTCTACTGGGGAGGAGCACTGAGAAAGTTTTACTGTCCACAAGAGGGTAAGGATGTGGCTAGTTTCAGTGTTTTTATCTGAATATCAGCATGATATCTGGAGCTGCCTGAGTCATCTCATCTTCTGACCATGAGAAAAAGACCAAGGGGACTTCAGATATGTTCACTCAGATACCATGAAGCTGCCAGCAACTGTCTACCATTGGCCTTATGTAATTAGTCTGTTCTCATGCTGCTAATAAAGACATACCCAAGATCGGGTAATTTATAAAGGAAAGAGGTTTAATTGACTCATGGTTCAGCATGGCTTGGGGGAGGACTCAGGAAACTTACAATCATGGTGGAGGGGGATGCAAATATGTCCTTCTTCACATGGTGGCAGGAGAGAGAAGTGCTGAGCAAAATGGGGAAAAGCCCCTTAAAAAACCATCAGATGTCATGAGAACTCACTATCACAAGAATAGCATGGAGTTAACTGCCCTCATGATTCAATTACCTCCCCCTGGGTCCCTCCCACAGCAGGTGGTGATTATGGGAACTACAATTCAAGATGAGATTTGGCTAGGGACACAGCCAAACCATATCACCTTACTTTTATGGGAGAAAAAACAGTCCCTACTTATTATTTATTTGAGACCCCTTAAGAGAATTTTGTTGCTCAATCTGCCTAAAGTTTAATACCATTCTATCCAAGATGAAGGAAAGAGAAGTAAACTGACATTTCCATATGGCCATGTTCTTCACTTAAAGCTTTTAGGCAGTAGTAAGCCAGTTGACCAAAATTTAAAAATCACTTTTTAGTGATTATTTAGCTGGACATTTTGCTCTCATGTACTGAGGTACCTTTCACTGACTGCTGAGTGGGGCTGGGTTTTCCCATGTCCTTGCCTTTGCTTACAGTGTTCTCAGCCAGAAAGTACTTTTCCTTTCCTTTTGTTCCCCATAGTGCATCAAATCCTATAAGGCCCAGGTCAAATGCCACTTCCATCATGAAGCCTTCCCTGGTTTCCCTTCAGTTATCACCAATTGCTCCCTGTGTTGTGCTTCCATAATACCTAACTTATGTCTTGGATGAGCATGTATTTTATTGTCTTCATTGACTATGTCTTGCTTTCTCCACTTCTCCACAAAATAAGCTACTTAAAGCCAAGGACCCTGTTATGGGAGTCTTTGTACTTTTCTAGACAAGCAGCAGGAACTCAGATATTTTGAATTCTATTTTACTTAAGCCAGAAAAACTGAAGAATGAAAAAGAAGCTTCTGTAGGGGAGACATATGAGCTGTTAGTATCAGCTATACCACTGCAATACTGGATAACTTCTTTTCCAGTAAGTAGTAAGTAAGTAAACGAGTAAGCCTGTAGTTAAATGGTCTCAGTGAAATAGCTTTCTACCAGCTTCATTTTCTCCTGTAATCACTCCAGTTTAGTGCAGTCAAATCAACTGCCCAAAGCCCAGTGTGACAGATTTTTGGCTGGGTTTACAACCTTTGATGAGTCCCTGTGTCCTGCAACAGAAAGCCCCATTTTTTTTTTATTACACTTTAAGTTTTAGGGTACATGTGCACAACCGGCAGGTTTGTTACATATGTATACATGTGCCATGTTGGTGTGCTGCACCCATTAACTCGTCATTTAACATTAGGTATACCTCCTAATGCTATCCCTCCCGCCTCCCCCCACCCCACAACAGGCCCCCATGTGTGATGTTCCCCTTCCTATGTCCATGTGTTCTCATTGTTCAATTCCCATCTATGAGTGAGAACATGTGGTCTTTGGTTTTTTGTCCTTGTGATAGTTTGCTGAGAATGATGGTTTCCAGCTTCAACCATGTCCTTACAAAGGACATGAACTCATCATTTTTTATGGCTGCATAGTATTCCATGGTGTATAGGTGCCACATTTTCTTAATCCAGTCTGTCATTGTTGGACATTTGGCTTGGTTCCAAGTCTTTGCTATTGTGAATAGTACTGCAATAAACATACGTGTGCATGTGTCTTTACAGCAGTATGTTTTATAATCCTTTGGGTATATACCCAGTAATGGGATGGCTGGGTCAAATGGTATTTCTAGTTCTAGATCCCTGAGGAATCACCACACTGACTTCCACAATGGTTGAACTAGTTTACAGTCCCACCAACAGTGTAAAAGTGATCCCATTTCTCCACATCCTCTCCAGCATCTGTTGTTCCCTGACTTTTTAATGATCGCCATTCTAACTGGTGACAGATGGTATCTCATTGTGGTTTTGATTTGCATTTCTCTGATGGCCAGTGATCATGTGCATTTTTTCATGTGTCTTTTGGCTGCATAAATGTCAGAAAGCCCCATTTTTAAAAAAACTTTTAGGGCCAAGGTCTTGGTCTGTCATCCAGGCTGAGTGCAGTGGTGTGATCACAGCTGACTGCAGCCTCAAATTCTGGAACTCAAGCAATCCTCCCACCTCAGCCTCTTGAGTAGCTTGACTACCGGGACATGTCACCATTCCTGGTTAATTTTTAAAATTTTTTTGTAGAGAGAGGGTTTTACCATGTTGCCCAGGCTGGTCTTGAACTTCTGGGCTCAAGCAGTCCTCCCACCTCAGCCGTCAAAGCATTGGGATTACAAGCATGAGCCACTGCATCCAGCCAGGAAGTTCCGCTATTTAATATGACAATCTGACATAACCCATCTCTTTAGCTTTGTCTGCGGCTTAGTAATTTTTTAAAACATCAATTTGTGTTTCTGTATTTTCCTCTCCTCTCCATTTCAAGCAGGTGGGAAGGCCCTTTGCATATCCTTGATGTTTGTTTAGTTGTTTCCATAAAGGAAAATGTACTCTTTGTGGTGCATATTAATAGATCTGTGGGTTTTCACAAATACATGCGTCATGTATCTACCACAATAAGCAAATACAGCCCAATTTTATCGCTCCAAAAATTCCCTCATGCTACCCGTTTTGTATTCCATCCATCCCCTGAGCCCCAAATCCTGGCTTCCACCATTCTCCTATGGTTTTGTGTTTTCTATCAAATCATATAAACAGAATCATTCAGTAGATAAGAGTTCTGGGTCTGGCTTCTCTGACTCAGCAAAATGCAACTGAGGTTTGTTGTTGTTGTTGTTGTTGTTGCTGTTTTCCTTTGTTTTTTCTTCAAGTTTTATTTTAATTTCTAGGATACATATGCAGGATGTGCAAGGATGTGCAGGTTGGTTACACAGGCAAACATGTGCCATGGTGATTTGCTGCACAGATCAACTCATCACCCAGGAATTAAGCTCAGCATCCACTAGCTTTTCTTCCTGGTGCTCACCCTCCCACCCCACCCCAACAGGCCCCAGTGACGCATTGGAGTTTTATAACAGAAGGTACTCATTGGGTCAAAAGCAGAAACTGCCTTAAAGCAATAGCTATTCCTGCCATCTGTAAACACCTAACCTTAGTGGAGAGTAGGCTCGTTGTCCTGTGGGGAAGAGAGGAGAGAGGAGTGACTTGGAAGAAAGCTGAAGAGAAGACAGATTTAGAAGAATCAGAACACTTAGAAAAATTTAGAGATCTGGGGTCCTTGGAAGACCAGAGTTATCACTAGGGAGGTGACCATCTCTCAGAAAGGATGGCTGTGTCATGCCCCTAGAAGACAGTACCCTTGGCCCACACCTCAGCAAAGATTTCTGTGCCCTCTCTGTGGTGTGGAAGTAGAGAGTAAGTGCATTTTAAATGACCCTGCAGGCTAGGGAAATGAAATTATCAGAGATGATCTTAACTGACCAAAGAGCAGCAGGCCTGCCCACGTTTTCTTGACACCATGTACGCTTTGTCAATTCTTGAACGACCCAGTGATAATGGAGATGGAATTTCCTAGCAGATTACTGTGGGAGCTCAGAGCCAGATTTAGGTAATAAAAGTCATATCAACTGCTGACATGTATTGAGTGCTTACTATTTGCCAGACATTTTTTAAAGCACTTTGTGAGTTAACATACTTCATGCTCACTGCAACCCTAGTACATGATATTATTATAGCAGAAACTGAAGCACAGAAAGGTTTCACAGAGCATCATTGTGGGGACCAGGACCCAAACACAGGCAAATCTAGCTGCAGAGGCCATGTTCTTAACTCCCCGCTAAACATGTTACTTTTTCAATCATGAGTTTGGGAGTTATGAGTCAGATTCCATCAATCTCTTCATCAAGAAAAGACCACCATGGAATAATAAAGTTCGGTTATGCACATCCTACTCACAACTGCTTTTCTGTTAAAGGGCCACCTAGGTAGTCCTGTTTGAGTTGCTACCTGTCTACACCTGACCAATCAGATTCTAGCTTGAGAACTGAAACTAAACACAGTGCACATCGTCAGTGAGTAACAGGTACTTGACAATAATAACTAACACTTACTGAGAATCCTAGTCCCTGACTTCACACTTTTAACTTCCAAACATAGGTTTGGGGCTGGCAGCCATGTTGAAAGATGTGCAAGAGGTGTAATCTCCATGAGAAAATGTGAGAAAGCAAATCAGAGAAAAAAGAAGTCACATGGCCCCTGAGAGGCAGAGGGAACACCTTGATTCTAGAAGCTGCAAGATCTCATAATGCTTGACTGAACGTATATAAATTGCTCCTGCACTGTCTTCTCACAACCTTGCAATGAATACTCTGTTTTCCCATGACCTAGCTGGGGTGGATTCTGTTTCTTGCAAAAAATGAACATTTCACATGTCTCCATGATCATATATGCCTCCCCCATCTCCATATACCCATGTTTGACACTCCATGGGGTCTAAAGGTACACGTGCCATAGTAGCTTTAACCGAGCTTGGCCTCTTTGAAGGGAAAATGCCACTCAGAAGGCAGTTCTTCAGTGAATGAAGGCCTCTGAAACCTGGTAGAGACTTTGCAGGTCACTGGCTTTGTTACATAAACCCAAACCATGGCAAGTGTAAGTCTTGAGTTCCCATTTCCCTTTCTCTCCAATGCTTCATAACAGGCATCAAACTCTAGCTTGGTATAACTAGGCTTAGAAAATATAGCTATGAAGAAAAGACAGGTCAATAAAAAATAAAGCTTCATTTAACCATCTCACTGACCAATGCAAGCCTTCCAGACTTAGCAAGAAACAAAGTCCAAAGAAAGGTCTTCAAAATAAGGTGTCCTATCTGCATATGAGACAAAGGAGGAAAGTGGGATAGTTACAATGTCTCTGCCTATTCAACATCCTTTAGCTTTCCTTCGGATACTAGAACACTTATTGCTTTGCAGAAACCTACTGGGGCTGGTGCTCACTTGGCCCTCCCCCACCCCCAGGATACAGAAGGGAATGTGATCTAGGCTGCCCAATCAGAATATCTGACTCCTTAGAAAGAGTGTTTGGTCTAGGGGCATGTGACCCAAGCAGGGTTAATCAGTTATTTTCAAAGATTGCTATGGCTGCCTGAATGAAGGTGTTTCTGTCTCTCCTTCTGAGATAATGTCTGCTGAAGAACTGCCTAAAGGAAACCTGTACAAGAGAGAAAGATGTTAAAAGCACCAGGGATGGTCATATCTAGACTTCTCAGTGATTGATAAGTCTACAAATTCCCATTTTTAAATAAATTTTTAAAAAACTAGAATAATTTTGCTTTGTGTCACTTGCAATTAGACATACCCTAAATAATTCATTATTTTTCTCACAGGGTAGAGGCTTCTATGTCTTGACTGTCTGTCCCTAACAGTCTACATCACTAAAGCAGGAAGAACTGTTCCCTAGAGCTCACAAAGAAGTCCATTTTGAAGAGTGACCATTACTCCTGTATGACTCAATTTTAAATGCCTGCTTAATAGGAAATGGAAATCCACAGGATAGCAGAAGCTAGTCAATTTTCAATACCAGGCAAAAGTTGTAAAAACAGGTACGCTAAAAGGTGTTCTTCTAACGTGAATTGGTATAAGACACTTTTAAGGGCATCTAGTATCTCCCAATCTTTGCTTACCAATCCAGAGGCAAGCACATTTTGTGAGCCT
Source organism: Homo sapiens (assembly GCF_000001405.40). NCBI lineage: Eukaryota > Metazoa > Chordata > Mammalia > Primates > Hominidae > Homo > Homo sapiens. The sequence goes on along the minus strand of NC_000005.10, from coordinate 156,631,591 downwards.
TTAATAGTTTTTTCCTCTATCCCTACAAACAGAAAAAAAAATAGCGTCTATGAAGACTGAATTAGTCAGTGCCAAAGAGTATGTTCTTAGATGTTGAACCAATTATCTTTTTTTTAAAAAAAAAAAAAAAAGCAAGTGTCAAAACCCGTATCTGCAGAGCTTTTTAGCTCGATTTGGGTATTTGCTAAGTGTATCTTGTGCTGCTTTGTCAATCTGAGTGACAGTTAATCAACACTAATCTGATGCCAGTTGATTCTTCGATTTCCCTAAACAGGATTAAGGTATACTATCTATGAATATATTTCATCCCAGGCTGTAAATCCACATGCTTTAATGTAAATACATTAGCATCTCTTTTTAAGTGGAATGTACTGTGTATACAAGGAAATAAAGATGAATTACCAAGTTGTCCTGAAAAATGTCTTTCTGACCCATTATGAAAATGACTCAGCTTTCAAGGCAGCAGTAAGTAGATTAGACATCTTCCATTATTTTACATAGTGATCTATACCTCAGTTTCTGGGAGGACCTATTAAGACTCAGAATATCTATGACCATATTGCCCTTCCTTGGCTGGGGCAGGTATATTTTCTCATTTATTTGTTTCTCTGTTTGTTAGTTTATTTAGCCCTCCTTTTGTTTTCTTATAAAGAAATATATATTTAATTCCTGCTGTGAGTTAGGCACTCACCTAGGTTCTAAGGATATAATGTTGAACAATAGTAGTAATATTTAGGTCCCACAATGTGCCCTAAGATCTCCCAATTCGTCCAGAGCCATTTGGGCCTATAAACACCTAATGTCAAATCTTACTATCCAGCACTGTTTCATGGGTCCATGCTCACCAGAGCAGGGCTGAAACAACAATTATTTAATCTTTGAATGTCACTTTAGAGTTTATAGGGATTTTCATATGTACTTTAAATTCTCATAAATATCTATTAATAGAAGGAACCAGGGAAGATAAGCTTTAATAAGTCATTTAAGATTAAGCAACTAACAACTTGAGGACAACAAGTTATTACTAAAACCCAATGGTCTATGACAGTATCTACCTCATAGGTTATTGTAAAACATCAATGAGATATTACAGGCAAAGCACTTAGAATAGTGCATGGCACACAGTAAGAGTGCAATAAATGTTAATTTATTGTTGACTGTGACGATGTTCTTGTTTAGAAACAGGGAATCATAAGCTAGTGTCAGTTTGCCTGCTTGTCCATCTATCCATTTGTCCATCTGTCCATCCATTCATCCATCCATCCAAACATTTATTGAGTACCTGTTATGTGTCAGGCACTATAAGAGATGCTGAAGATTTAATGTTGAATAAACCCATGCTCTTATACCTCTCACAGTTTAGATTTCCAGTCTTTGGCATTTGTATTTGCTATCAGACTTCACATACTAAATGATGAAAAGGTCTTAGGGCCAGGCGTGGTGACTCAGGCCTGTAATCCCAGCATTTTGGGAGGCTGAGGCGGGTGGATCACCTGAGGTCAGGAGTTTGAGACCATCCTGGCCAACATGGTGAAACCCCATCTCTACTAAAAATACAGAAAATTAGCTGGGCATGGTGGCACATGCCTGTAATCCCAGCTACTGAGGAGGCTGAGGCAGGACAGTCACTTGAACCCAGGATGCAGAGGTTGCAGTGAGCCAAGATCGTGCCATTGCACTCCAGCCTGGGCAACAAGAGTGAAACTCCATCTAAAAAAAAAAAAAAAAAAAAAAAAGAAAAAGTCTCAAAACCAGAGCCTAGACCAGGGACTGGCAAACTAGAACCCATGGGCCAAATTTGTCTCACTACCTGTTTTTGTAAGTAAAGTTTTATTAGAACACAGCCATATTCATTTGATTACCTATTGTTTATGGCTGCTTTCCCACTGCAATGGAAAAGTTGAGTAGCTGCAACAGAGACCCTGTGGTCCATAAACCTAAAATATTTACTATCTGGCCCTTTGTGTAAAAGATCCCTGGCCTAGATTATTGCATCTTTGTATCCTCTTAGCTGTTCTACCTTATCATCCCTTGGAATTGAAAACAAATAAAAAGGTGATGGCTTGCCTGCATGGGCCAATCAACTTGTTTACATCTGATGACATGTTCTAATTGCAGAAAAGTACTTCATGGTTTTGACATTACTGATTTTCCTGGGGGGATTTTTTTCCATTGCCCTCTACAAGAGGCAAGATAACCTTGTAAAAATATTCTTCCAAAGCATGAACTCATTATTCTGTGGTCCTCCTGCTTTCTTCCCATTTATTATCACCTTATTATGTCCCCAGTACTATCAGCAATCCTGCTCAAGTCTGTGCGTGTTGACATGTCATCGGGCAGTAAGAATTTTTTTAACATTGTTTTTGCATGAGCATACATTCAAGTGTTGCCTTGAATGGTAACATTCAAGATTCTAACAAGAACAATGATTTACTCCAATGCCAATCACTTTACCTATACTATTTTATTTAATCATTATAACAACATTTAGATACTCTCATCATTTCCCTCTGCAGATGAGGAAACTGAAGTTTTGAGAGTTAATTTTTTAAATGATAAACATAGTTACACTTATCGAGAACTTAATATATCTGAGTATAAATTTTACATGGGTTGTCTTATTTAATTTCCACAGTGACTATCTAGGAATGCAGTGTTGATATCTTCATTGCACTCATAAGGTGCAGTGAGGTTACTGACTTGCTATGATCCCAACTCTAGTTAAGTGGGAGCACTAAGACTTGATATTAAAATCTGGTTGAGGTCAGGAAGGTATCCTGTGGTTCAGTCACACAGACACCCATCCCCTCCCACTTCCTCCCTACCAAATCAAATGTGGTGCCTGCATGCAGCCCCTTTATTGAGTAGACAACTGTAAAACTAGTTATTTCTTTTCTGAGGTTTGGTGATTAGAATGGCAGAAGTAGAAAACAAAACTGGCATGATGATGCTTTCTGCTGAAATGTAAATCAGTTTTACTTGTCAAAGATGTCAAGGATGGCAGATCCCAGTGACTTCTTTACTATGTCTTACTTTAAAAACAAATCCCAGCCCATGTTCTCATTATAAACTAAGTATGATTTATACTTAGTAATGGAAGATAAATATTTGGACTCCTGTACATTAAGAAACATTCTCTAAATAAGAAGTTTTCAATGGGTTACTGAATTTGAACAAAGGCATTTCCTTTACATCTTAAATTCTCAAGGTATTTCAGACTCCATATTTTGGTAAGTGAACCAAGTTGGCTCTTGCCAGTTTGCTATGGTTTGGATCTGTGTCCCCACCCAAATCTCATGTTGAATTGCAATCCTCAATGTTGGAGGTAGGGTCTGGTGAAAGGTGCCTGGATCATGGGGTTGAATTTCTCATAAATGTTTTAGTATTTTCCCCCTGTACTGTCTTCATGACAGTGAGTTCCTGTGAGATCTGGTCATTTAAAAGTGTGTGGCACCTCCCCAGTCTCCTCTTGCCCCTGCTTTTGCCATGGGATGTGCTTGCTCCCCCTCTGCCTTCCACCATGACTGTAAGTTTCCTGAGGCTTCCCCAAAGCTGAGCAGATGCCAGGATCATGCTTCTCATACATCCTACAGAACTGTGAGCCAATTAAACCTTTTTCCTTTATAAATTACCCAGTCTCAGGTATTTCTTTATAGTAATTCAAGAATGGCCTAACACACACTTCATCTTTGCAGGTGATGGGGCAGTCTTTCCATATCACAAATTTTGATTATAAACATTACCAAGCAGTGATATAGGCTTAATTTATAGTAGTATTAATATCAGAATCTGGGTCTCCAAACTCATTGTTTATTTTTTTAAATTACACATTGTAGCATAGTTGTTGTTAATATTATATATTCTAATATCCAGGCTCTTGTCTTGGATTTCCCAACAAACTTACTATATGAATGTAGAGCCTTTTAACTGTTCTAAGAATAGTTCCTGTACCTATAAAGTGGGCATCATCCACCACCAACCTAAGGCTCAGGTTTATCATGAAGACTAAATAAGAGGTGAGTGAGCTTTTCAACCTGTACAGCAAAATACAAATGTTAGTGATAAATGGCACCACTCAGGAAATCCTCTCTGGATCATATAAAGACTCCCTTTTAATCTTTAGAAGCTGCCCATTTTATAAGAAGATTCCATTAAAATCAGAAGAGTAAGCTAGTAAGTATGATTAATTTGAGATTAAAGGTAAGATGTCTACCTAGGTCTGTTAAGTGCTCTCTCTCTCTGTTTTTATAGTTCTCAAAAAACCCTACCCCAAGGCCCAATTTTAGGGACACTGGACACTAACAAATCAATAGGCCCAGGCTCATTTTTCTGAACCTTCTAACTCAGGCAATGCAAAAACCCCTTCCACATTTTCATGACAAATGGAAACATCTCACAGAGAAGCTCACTAAATGGATGAAGCTGACATTCCTCCTAATTCATTAGAGCAAAGAACTTTTAGAGATCCAGGGACCCCACTAAAATCATTCTCCCACAGGGCAATTGATCATAACTTGAAAAATCATTTCAGGATTGGTCCAAAGCAGCCTTAAAGGAAGAGAAGGAAATGTCACTAACTTCTGCACAATTCAGAATTTTAAAGAAATACATCAAACTATGAGATCACACCTCTGTTACTGTAGTGGTCTACAAGGTGTGCTTCTCAAACTTAACACACAGCTTAGCATTTGCCATTTTAAATGCCTGGGGTAATAGGTCCATCTTATCCTTTGCCCCAAGAAGAGCTGCCTTTTTAGCTGAAGAAATCACTCTGGTTCTCAATAGAAAAGCAGGGTGGGGGGGAGTGGATTATAAAATATAAGCCCTAAGTAATGGGGTGAATGTAGAGTATAAAACAAATCTACCTACATATTGGTTGCTTAACAAATGTCAGCATTGTCATAAATCCATTTTGAAGTCTACTTCAACTATAAGATTACATAAATAAGGAAACTGAATATCCATCCTATATGAAAGGCAAAAGTTATGCTGCACCAAGTAGAAGTCGACTTGTCTTACCAACAAAAATAGGTCATTGTGCTCACACTGCTCTGAACAGGAGGCAGAGATTCAAACCTCTATGCACATCACTTCTGTCTTCCCCACTCCAAAGAGCTTTCTGCTGGAGAGCTCTCATCTTGAGTTTGTTGCTTCTGTCAATACTTTGTGACCAGGCTCAGGCTAGAGAGATAGCTGGGCCATACTTACCCATGGTTAACATTAATTGCTCACTTGCTGTGTGCATGGCCTGACACCGGGCACTACAGAGGGAGAAAGAATGTAATCTGCAACCTCAAAGAATGAGAAAGGAGGACATACAAATTTCCAAGGGGATGCAGGGCACAAAACCAGGGACACAAAGGTTATTTACAGGGGCGCTGCAGTCAGCGCTCTGCATACTTTTCCTCTAGCCCACGGCTTCTCAACCTCAGCCCTACTGCATAGGGCCAGATCATTCTTTGTTGTAGGGGGCTGTCTTGTGCACTGTAGGATGCTGTGTAGCATCCCTATCCTCCATCCGTTAGATGTCAGTAGCAACCCCCCACCTCCACCCCCACCAAATTGTGCCAAAGATGTTTCTCAACACTGACAAGTATTGCTCTAAGGGTCAAAATCTCCACCCACTCCTATCAACACACCACTGTTGAGAATCACTGTTTGGCCCTAGTGTGTTGTAACATACCCCCGCTTCCAACTCCAGACTAACCCCATCCTCAGAATTTAATGATAGGCTCCACATGAAACAGGAGTTCCTTTCATCCGGTCCATGATATTAAGCATCAAACAACCTAGACATATGTCAGGGCTTACAATCATGTCCTATTCTTGTTATACTCTAGCTGAATCCCCAGCTTATCATAGTGATTGCACATAATAGGTGCTCACTAAGTAAGCACTTACATTAGGACATTAGGACAGGGAGCCTCACCTGGGACAATGGACCCCAGAGATTTACAGATAGAATTCAGTGGGTTTGTGATCACTGAAGGGGCAGATTTTACATCATTCTTTTCATTAACCTCTAACTGGAATCTAGCATTTCCTCTGATGAGAATATAGAAAATAATCTATAATAATCATCACTCTGGAACTCTGTCACCAACAGAACTCACAGATTATTTCCTATCCTAGTCAAGTTGTTGCATACATCTCAAAATCGTGTTTATGGTCTCTGCTGCTTTGAAATGATGGTAGTTATCAAAGACAAACATACATTATTTTATCACGACTTTTTTTTAATGTGTTGGCAACTGTATCTAATTAGCTTTCTTTGGTAATCCTGGACATTTTGTTTAATGCTGTTAAAAATATAATTTTGAGAAGGGATTTGTAGTTCCAATAGCTTGACAAAGGCACCCATGACAAGAAAAAAAAAGTGAAGAAACACTGCCAATGTCCTAAAATCATAGCCAGTCTCTAAGAACTTTCTGCATCATTCCTATGGTGCTGGGGAGGGGGCTTGTTCCTAGCAGGGGCCTAACTGCTATTACTGAGAGGCATAGGTGCCATCGCTAGCCTGAGTCATCCTCTTAATCTCTAAGAAGGTGATTTATTGTTTTTTCATTTATCTTCCACCAACCCATATCCTGAGTACCTTTAAGGATGGTTTTAGGAATCAAATCAAATGACAGAGGCAAATGTGCAGGTATCTGGTTGTAACTAATGCTACCATGCAGATGTGATCACATGTCAGTTCTCTAGGATGTGTCAGCTCTTGTGCTTTATCAGCCTATTTGCAATCTGTGGTAGCAGACTTGACTCAAACTTGGCCTTTCTCGCTTGCATCATTTTTCTGTCTAGGAATCACAGACGAAAAGAGGGTAGAAAAAGGATGAGGAGAGAATGAGGAAAGTGATCATTTTTTAAAAAAAAAGTTAATTCAACTCGTACTCTAGAATTCATTTTTTATCCCTCATTCAGAAGACAGGACTAAATTTGTAAACTTCAGTTGTTACAAGGCTGTACCACAAGAGTAAGAGTGGTTATTTTTATATTTTATTTTTATTTTTTGAGACAGAGTCTTGTTCTGTCACCCAGGCTGGAGTGCAGTGGCGCAATCTCGGCTCACTGCAAACTCCGCCTCCTGGGTTCGCACCATTCTCCTGCTTCAGCCTCCCGAGTAGCTGGAACTACAGGCGCCCGCTAACACGCCCGGCTAATTTTTTGTATTTTTAGTACAGATGAGTTTTCACCGTGTTAGTCAGGATGGTCTCAATCTCCTGACCTCGTGATCCACCCGCCTTGGCCTCCCAAAGTCCTGGGATTACAGGCATGAGCCACCGCGCCTGGCCCAAGAGTGGTTTTTGATGTTATTTCCTTCAATAACATCAAAGTTATTGAAGTGGGGAAGAAGTGGGAACAGCTTCTTCCCCAACTTCACCCACTGAAATCCTTCAAGAACTAACTCAAATTTCCACTTCTCAGTGGAGGCCTCTCCTTGAAATTCCTGTGTCTGCAATTAATTCTCTGGGATATTTCCAGGTGAGTCTCTCTGGTACATTTCTCAGACATCATATTGCAGCCTAAGTTCCCAATGATGGGAGAGATTGCACCGTACAAGACCAAGGCCCTGGACCCTTTCTCTGCTCCACCAGCAATCTTTGATCACAATTTGCTAAAGAGAGATGTATCTTCAGAGTCCTTGGAGGAAGAATTAGGCCAGAGGACCTTGCTTAGGCTCTTGTGCTGGGACACCCTCATTAAACATACAGTTGAACCACTAGGGCCTGAATACTCTCCAATAACCAGTCAGCTAGACAGATAGGAAGTCAAGAGAGAAAGTCATTTTCCTTGGCAGCTGAGATGCATTTAACAGCCAAAGAAGAAAAGCACATTACCTTCCTTCATAGCTCATAGGCACCCTGCATATTGATTTCATATCGGCTCTTTCCTTTGTTTAGTTAAATGCAATCTTTTCCACAAGCCCATGATATAATACAAGTACTTTAAATGTGCTTTGACCTCTGATCAGCTCACATCAAGCAACTGAGTGGGAAGAACAATGCACCGTGTTCAGAACTCATTGGATATGCTTGTGCTCTTTCCAACTGGAAGAGTCCTGCCCTTCCTCATATGCTCAGCTTCTTTTCTTTGGGCTGAGTCAGAAAAGAACAATCTGAGTTGTCAGTGCTACAGTCTTATAGAGCAGGCTGCACGACTCTTTTTCTGAAATCTCGTTTTGAATTAAAACACTGAACATAGATGTCAAGGATGTATTTGGGCTCATGATTCTGGATCTGTCCAACCCATCCCTGGCTGATCCTCATCACGGTGTCCTGTAAAACACAAATTAGATCTTGCTGGTCCCCAGTCAGAAGCCCTTCAATGCATCCCCATTGCCTTAAAAGTCCGAACGCCTGAACGTGACACACAGTGCCCACTGCAATACTGTGGTTTTCTAAAAGAGATTCATGTACATACACACGTATATAAGGATCCATGTATGTATATATATTTATCTAATGTACATGTGTATACACATATATACACACATATCATATAATACAACAAATATATATGTATACTATATACATATAAAACATACAATACAAAAATATATATGTATATTTGTGGCTATGTAAATGTGACTGTCGGGCTTCAGGACATGCTACCCCAAAATATGGCTCCTTGACATTTGAGAAAACAGCAGAAGCAAGAAGGACTCTCTGACTTGCTCCCGTCATTCTCCCCTGAAGCTGATTATAAAACCTAGAAAAGTCACCCTCTGATCTTCTCCCACCGTTCTTTCCTCAGAGACACTCACGTAATAGGTTTCGTCCTACTCTATACCCAGAGGAAAGGAATGAAGACAAAGAGATGCCAAGAAGAATCAGAAAAAACAGGTCTTGCTAAGTTTCTCCCAGTTCATTACCATTAGCTCACACCCCCCTTTGTCCAGTCATACTTCTACATGATTGTCCTACTCTTCATCAAACCTACACATAAAAATACGGTTTTCCCCATTTCTTTGGTTGTTCATTTCTGAAGGCTCTCATGTCATAGAAAATGTTTATTAAATTTGCAATGCTTTTCTTTTTTACAAAAAAAAAATCTGTCTTTGTTATGGAGACTTGCAAGGGGTGAAGAAAAGATATGACTTTCCTTCCCTAAATTATTATTATTATTATTATTATTATTATTATTATTATTATTATTTTTTAGACAGAGTCTTGCCCTGTCACCCAGACTGGAGTGCAGTGGTGCCATCTCGGCTCACTGCAACCTCTGCCTTCTGGGTTCAAGTGATTCTCCTGCCTCAGGCTCTCAAGTAGCCGAGATTACAGGCGCCCACCACCATGCCACACTAATTTTTGTATTTTTAGTAGAGACAAAGTTTCACCATGTTGGTCAGGCTGGTCTCAAAATCCTGACCTCAGGTAATCCACCTGCCTTGGTCTCTCCAAGCGTTGGGATTACAGGTGTGAGCCACCACGGCTGGCCCTCCTACATGATTTATGTTAAAAGTATAGGCACTTTATACAAAAAATGTACTTGTACATTCTACCTGGGTAAATTGTGTATGTGAATTTTATCTCAATAATTATTTAAAGAAAACCAAAATACAGGTTTCAGAGTCTGATTGTCTGGGTTTAGAGCTTACTTCCACCCTTAAACTTGCTATAAAACCTTGGGGAACTTGCCTATTTGTCAGTTTTCTCATACATGAAGTGAAAATAAGAATGAAACTTATCTTAGATGTCTGTCCTGAGACTCAAGACACACAAAGAGATGAGAACAACACCTGCTACGGAATAAGCATTTAAGAAATGTCAGCTATTAAAATAAAGATCTCTTCCCTCTTATATTTGGACATTCTACTCCATCTCTACTCTCTGTGTTGAACTTCTAAAACTTTCCTTATGCTTCAACAGGACTTTGTATATGCTCAAAATAGCTACTCCACATTTAGTGCTTCCAACGCTTGGACTGATTAATTAATCCTTCCAGTCTCAACTTAATCACTTCTTTCAGGTAGGCTTCCCTTACTTGTAAAATTTGGTTAAACTAATCTCCTAATTTTATGTTTCCATAGCATTTTATACTTTGCTCCCATAACGCACATTTTTTTTTTAACGTAAATGCTTAAAACATCTGTCTTTTGGCTGGACATGGTAGCTCACGCCTGTAATCCCAGCACTTTGAGAGGCTGAGGCAGGAAGATTACGAGGTCAGGAATTGGAGACAAGCCTGGTCAATACGGTGAAACCCCGTCTCTACTAAAAATACAAAAATTAGCTGGGCATGGTGGTAGCACACCTGTAATCCCAGCTACTTGGGAGGCTGATGCAGGAGAATCACTTGAACCTGAGAGTCGGAGGTTGCAGTAAGCCGAGATTGTGCCACTGCACTCCAGCCTGGGCAACAGAGTGAGACTCTATCTCAAAGGGGGAAAAAAAATCTAACTTTCTTGCTTAGCTGTGGATCCTAGAAAGGCAGGGACCCAGAGTGTCCCTTTGGTCAACACAGCAGCTGGCCAGAGTAAAAACTCAATTAGTATTTGTTGAATGTGACTGAATTTCTTTCTAAAGAAGAACTGCCTACACTACAGCTTAAATAATGTCAAGAAGCTTCTTGTTGATGCTACTTCCTTTCATTTTTAAACCATGAGAGTTCTTGCAACATAAATAATGTCTAACTATAATTCTTTTCTCTTTGACTTTCAGAACCAAAATAATATTAAATATTCCCATTCCCATTTCCACCACATCCTGCACAGTACACTGCCAGGAAAGTTCCTGGGAGGGTCTAGCACAACCCTGAGATATTCCTTAATTCAGTCTTTGGGAAAGTAAGTAATTCCTGTTTACTATATGCTGATACATGACAGTCTCTTCCCCATAAAGAAATCCAAATGTGCTTATTTGCTGGAAAAAACGATGGCAGCTCATTCCACCTCCTCTGTCACACCATAGTCCCTGTTCTTGCTGCTGCATAGGAAGCTGCTTCTCATTCCCTTGCACTTGCGAAGTCAAACTCTGTCCCCATCCATTACACTTCCCCCTATTTCTCCTCTAGGAAGTTTCTCCCGAACACCTCTGTAGTCCTGATCTCTTCCTACCTTGTCTTCAGCACTTACCATCTACTTAATCCTCTCAGCATGTCCAAGTTCTATCGTATATTTTGTTCAAGTTTTTAAAAACATTTTCACTATTTAATATTTCACTGGGTATGTGCTTTGATACCCGTACAAGAATATAACTTATTTGAGAACTTTTAAAGAGGAACTTTTGTTCTACGTCCTTACATCTCTGCACTGAACTTAGTTTGGTGACAGTTGTACAAATGGTGTTCAACAGTAATATGTAGAAGGAAAACAACAGGCATTAACATATCAGGTACTCATTAGGTGCCTAGCACCACATTGAGTACTTGACATAATTATGTAGTGCTCTTATTAACCCTGTTTTACCGATGAGAAACCAGAGGCTTTCAGAGATTGATAAACTTACCCAGTGTTGTACCATTAGAGCCAGGAGTTCAACCCAGGCAGTTTGTGCCCACACCCCATACTCACTTATTCTGCTGACGTATACTACTGTTCTAAAGGGGAGAAACTTTGAATTTTGCTTCTATTCTGTACTTTGAAGAAGACTGGATATTTTCTCCTCTGTCTCTCCTTTCTTCCTTTGTTTGGATTAACCCTTACCCCATTAACCACTGTTCCCAGGGAAGACGGTGCAAAAGGAGTTAAGATTAAAGGGCAGTACCTGGCAAAAGTAGAGTGCAAGCAAGGAGGTGAAGCATAAGGAGCGTAAGAGAATATTTTTAGTACTCTTTTCTCCCAATCAAATAAGCAAATGAAATTCAAGTCTTTCCAATAAAGGAGAACAAAGTTAATTTCCTTCCCTATTCTGTGCACTGAGATTTTCTTATTCACATTGTCATCTCATTAAATTCCTGGTATCACGGTGGAATACCAACATTCCCCTTGGCCTCTGCTGGAAAAGCAAAAAGAAAAAATTCTACTCAGGTAACTGTTGGTGGTAAAGGAGTGTTCTACAAGCGTAATATAATTAATAGGAAAGGAGACAATATAGCTAGATCTTGACATTGAAGATGCCTGACAGAAGTTTATCTCCTCATTTGAAAATACTCTGTCCTTGTTATTAACTGGCTAGAAGAAAACTCTGACAATAAAAACAGGCCAACAGATGCTTGAAAACACACTAACTATGGCTTGATAGAGAAATCCAAGTTGTGTTAGTTCCGCAAACAGAAAAACAAAACCATCTCCCTCCCTTGTTAAATGTTGGAATTGGCTCTCTTCGGCCGGCTCGGCAGCTCACGCCTGTAATCCCAGCACTTTGGGAGGCCGAGGTGGGCAGATCATGAGGTCAGGAGATGGAGACCATCCTGGTTAACACGGTGAAACCCCATCTCTACTGAAAATACAAAAAATTAGCCGGGCGTCGTGGCAGGTGCCTGTAGTCCCAGCTACTCTGGAGGCTGAGGCAGGCGAATGGCGTGAAGCTGGGAGGCGGAGCTTGCAGTGAGCCAAGATGGCGCCACTGCACTCCAGCCTGGGCAACAGAGCGATACGCTGTCTCAGAAGAAAAAAAAAAAAAAAGGAATTGGCTCTCTTCAAAGCGGCCACACAGTGAACGTCATCAACTCTTTAATCAAACTAGAAAGCTGACAAACATCCCCAACTTACTTATTTCCCACTCTCCCTGAGCACCACCGAGGGCTGCAATGGCTGAGCAGCTGGGAAGGTCTGCTGAGGCAATGCTGCTTGGGATGGTTGTGGAAGTTTACACAGAAGCATAAATCTACGATGCTCATATTAAATCACATTTCCCTCTTGCCAAAGGGAAAACTGTGTGGGGCCCAACAAATGCCTTTTCCTTCTGCATCAGGAATTCACCCCTCAAGCTTGCGAGGGGAAAACCGAACCACTGTAGCTTATGCTGCCTACAGACATCAGTGGGTGAATGCGCGCTACTAGGCAGTGAAATCACCTAGGTTTTCGGACTGGCTCTTTTTTTTTTTTTTTTTTTTGAGAATTATGAGTGCTGTACTCCCTGTAGCATTTCAAATGAAACCCCATTATTATTTCTATATTGTAGAATTTTGCTTTTTCTCATTAAGTATCTCTGGTTTATTAGGTCGTGGTTGTTCAGTTGTTCATCTGAGACTTTTATATTTGGCTTTCTTGCTGCATTATTTATGGGAACTGTATGTTTATGATCTAATACATTATTCCTGTATTCCTGTAAATAATAAACCAGCTTTTAAATGAGGTGCCACAGAAGAACTAGACAACCAGCAATTCTTTCTAAACAGTTGAATACCCAGCAGATTATCTCTGCTAACGATAACTGGGAGCAGAAGGTGGTCCCTGGTGAGTTTTAGGATTTATTACTCAAATGTTACTATTAGATTCGTAGGCTCTCATTTCCCAGGCATCAAGGTTTGGACTATTCTATTTTCACTACCCTATCTGAGAAACCATGTTCCACTCTAAAATATAATCCTTCAGCCATTCTCATGCTTCCTTCTGCGTACTGATGAAATACTTCAGAAAGGAAGAGAAAAAAGGAAAAAGAAGCAAAGAGAAAGGAAGGAGAGAGACTGTTTATTTAGAACCTGAATACATTTAAGTGATGTCCATGTGACTTGAACAATGTGGCCAACTTCACGTGGCTGGTAAGTGTGACAGAACTAAGTTTTGTTGCATTCTAAAGCCTTTTGAGTTGCTTCACCTTGTCATGGTAAAAGGCAGAGTGGGTGAGGAAAAGCACAGGAACATGGGATAGGGCCCTGGACTTCTGAGGATGTACCAGGGAGGGCAATCATGGCCCTGTAAACCACCCCTGGAGCCTTCTTCAGATAAAGAAATGGGCTGGGTGGCTGGGTGCTGTTGGGTGAAGCTCTAGTTAACGACCTTTGCTGAGTATTTGCTTTGGGGCACTTCCAACTGTTTTAAGTTACGTGAATAGACTCTCTGATCCCTCTCCTCAGCCAGTCATCTCTTGTGGGCTTTTTGCCTGGCTTCTCCCACTGGGCAGTGGACCTCTCCAAGGCAGAGGTCAAACTCCAAGACCTAGTACATCTAAAGCTGAACTGTTAATCTCCAATCCCAAATCTGCCATTGCTCCTATAAATTTCTGTTAATGATGTCACAGTTATCTGACTGACAAGGCTAACAGCACCAGAGGTATCCCCAACTTCCTTCCCCATGATCCTCCACATGAAATTACTTGCCAAGTTTCATTAGTTCTATCTCAAGGTATCGTGTCTATTTGTTCTCTCTTCTCTTTCTATCCTAGTTTAGGCCTTTATGAATCTTTAACGAATGTATTACAGTATTCTTGCAACTTAGGGGCACGCTCTCCCCTGCTTCTTTTTACTACACTGTCAGGTGAGTTGTGAGACATTTCAGTATTCAAAATCTTTCAATCCATTCATGCAACAAATTTTACTGAGCAGTTATTATGTGCCAGGTGCTATTCTAAGTCTATGAGACAAAACTTCCTGCTATCATAAAGCTTACATTCTAATGAGGAAGGATAGAAAGAAAATGAACAAATATACATCATGTCATGTTGTGATAACTAGCCTGAAGAAGAATACAGCAGAATGGAGGCACAGATCAGGAACTGGCAAACTTTTTTTTTGTAAAGGGCCAGATAGTAGATATTTTAGTCTTTCTGGGCCATATGATCTCTGTCTCAACTACTCAACTCTGCCACTGTACTGCAAAAGCAACCACAGACAGACTTAAATGAGTGTGATCATGTTCCAGTAAAATATTATTTACAAAACTAGGCAGTGGTTTTGGCCTGATTTGGCAGTCTATAGTTGACCAATTCCTGATGTAGACAGTGATAATGGGAACATGCTGTTTTTATAAAGTGGTCAGGGAAGACCTCTTTGATAAGGCGATGTTTGAGCCACAAAGGAAGAGGCCATTAGTACATCTTGGAAAAGAGGATTCTATGCAGAGGGAACAGTAAGTAAAAATGTTAGGAGGTAAAAACATGCTTGGTACCATTGTGTTAGGAGCTCAGCAAGCAAGGGAGAGACAACTTATCAAGTATTTTCCACTAATACCCTTCACAATGCCTGGGTTCCACTGTCTCATATACAACCATCCAACCATCATGATTTTCTATGCTCATACATCTGACTACTATAACAAGTATTTGCATTTTTTTCCTAGCACCTATTCCCTCTCCTGATAACAACACCCCAATTTTCCTTTGGAGAAGTGCTCTATTTCACTCTCAGTCATTCCAACCCTAGCTCTAGCAGTGGGAATATGACCTAGGCTTTGCTAACCAGCACACTATATCATCCTGATCACAGTGACTAACTAGTTCAAGGATGGACCTATGGTCCATGACAGTCCACACAGAATAAAACTCAGGCCATCGTTGTATTTATATTAGGATGATAACCACTTTTTCTGCTCACCAGCAGAGCTGAAGACAGAATACAAGATTAGAAAATAGAGCTGAGACATGATTAAAAGAAAGAGAGAGAGACTAAGTTTTGGTTTCATTATTTGAGCCACTGAAGCTAGCCTGCAGCCAACTACTCTTGGGCTTTTCAATCACATGAGGCAATAAATTTCCTTGCCTCTCCCTTTGAATTGGATTTATATCACAACCAAGTGAGACCCGAATGATAAACACATCTGACTCCATTCACCAAGCCAAGACTATATTTTTCTTCCCTCCTCATCTATACTCAAAATCTAGTTCAAATGTACCTAATTGAAAGTTTAAGAAGATTTCTAAACTCTCTCTCTCCCACTACACCCAACCGCAGCTGGATTTTATAGGCACTTTGTTTCTATACTTCTTATGTAGCTTGTTTTCTTCTTGGGCTCCCAGATCTGCCAAGTGTATCTATCTCCCTGATTAGACAGAGAGCTCCCATAGAGAGCAGGAACAGTGGTAATCATCACAGTGTATTTGTGGCACCTGTAGCAGTGATTTGGCAATATCATATACAATACATATGACAGACATACACATTTAATGAGTGAACATCACTAAGAACACTCCCACCCCTTTCACTGAAATTATCATTTGCCACGTTGCAGTAGAGTTTCATCAAATTCAAAAGCCTAGATGTACCATCTCATGTAGTCCTAAAAAAAAAGTTAAGCATCAAACCATATTTGAATTTCTATAAGTCTTATGCTAATTTAAATAGCTTTGTACTTAATTAAAATGTTTTTCAATTGATAATAATGTAACTCAGATAATTAGCATCAAGTGGCATCTAGAGGATATATTTAAAAAACTAATCTACAGTATAAATACAACTAATTAACAATTAGAATAGCAATTTATAACTGTGCTTTGTTTATAAATGCTATAATGTCCAATTCCTTGTTCAATGAAATTGGTCATTAATGAAAACCAAAGTCATGTTTTCCCTGGTGTTGTCACTGAAGATGCCTCTTAGTTGCACTGGCCTTTATGTTGCTTACCTTCTTGCTGCTTTTTAAAGGCCATTCCTGTCTAATCTTTTAAAATGTGTTCTGAAATTAAAGCTAAACTACATCATGCCTCATCTTGCATACTAACTTTACATTTTGGTAATTAAATGAATGGGCCAAGTTATAAGCCTAATTCTTTTGTGCCAGAGACCTTTGTAACATGGAAAAACCGGGGGTGGCAAAAACATTTTTCGTTCATGTGAAAAAAGACAACTGGTACCTGAATGAAAGCAAGGCCCTGAAGACTAGGAGAATGGTGGCCCCATAAGGAAAATTAGGGGAGAAATCTCTGGAAGTTTGATGGAGGAGACATTAGTTTAGCAGCAAGTAAGGAAGTGGAAGTGATGCAAAGACCCCCCATGAGGAAAAGTACAGGCTGCTGGGAATTTGAAACTGGAATTGAGAAGACAGTTTGAGGCAAGTACAGATTTAGGGGTCATCTGAAAAGAAGCAAATATTTAAACCATATGTAGGACATCTGTAAATGTGGAATTTCCCACAGAAATGTGAACATAAAAAAAAGGACTAAACTGTGGGGGAGTCAACAGGTTTGAATCTAAGTGACCAGGTGAAAGAAGACTTAGTAAAGGGATCAGCGAATGGTCAGAGACTTAGGAGAATTGTGGAGCATTCTTAGGGAATAGTGGAGCATCCAGTAGCCAAAAAGGAGAGGAATACCTGGAAACTATTGCCCCATTCTCTTTCCCTCTCATTGTGATAACAATGTGCCGTGGAGTTTCGGAAAAGAGTCCACTGATAGAAGTCATAGAGTGTGGTGAAGACTGCCTGGATTTAGATCCTGACTCTGCCATGTGCTCTCTGTGGAACTTTGGACAAGTTATTATACCACTCTGTGCCTCAATCTGCTCATCTGTTAATGAAAGTAATAAGCCTGGCTGGGCATAGTGGCTCATGCTTGTAATCCCAGCAGTTTGTGAGGCCGAGGCAGGTAGATCACTTGAGGCCAGGAGTTCCAGACCAGCCTAGCCAACGTGGTGAAACCATCTCTACTAAAAATACAAATATTAGCCAGGTGTGATGGTGCGTACCTGTAATCCCAGCTACTCAGGAGGCTGAGGCACAAGAATCGCTTGAATCTGGGAGGCAAAGGTTGCAGTGAGCTGAGATCGCACTAGTGTACCCAAGTCTGGATGACACAGCAAAAGAAGGAAGGAAGGAAGGAAGGAAGCCAGCCAGCCTGTACCCTCCTAATAGGGTTGTTGTGAGGATCAAATGCATTTATTCAGGGCAAGTGATTAGTTCAGCCCCTTACAGAGAGTAAGCACTCAACATATGTTAGCTATATTTATGTTGCAGCAAAATACTAAAAGCTGAGCCTGAACTCATTTGAAAGTTACCAGGAGATTTGTGGCAAAATGATTTTGCTATCATTGTCTTGGGTCAGTGGTTCGCATAGGAATCACCTGGATGTCTTGCTTCAACACAGCTTACTGAGGTCTATCCCTGAGTTTCTCATTCAGTAGCTCTGGGGTATAGCTTGAGAGTTAGCATTTCTAACAAGTAGACCACAGCTGATGCTCTTCATCTCAGGACCATATTTTTGAGATCCACTGTCTTAGTGAGTTGGGGGAATAGTGGAAAGTCAACCTGGCCTTTAATCTCTCCATTACTTAAGGTCCAACTGGAGAATACATATGACAGTGAGACCAGCCTTACTCACACATGTGTGAAAAGGGCTGTGTAATACTTCCTAGCCTGTAAAGGTGTTTTCTGGCCCTGACTATGTCAACAAAATCCATTGGTCCAAACATACCTGATATATGAATACTCCTACAAGTTCTAAGCAAATTTATTTTGTGAACACACAAGGGCTGTGTACAATTTCAGGATTTGATGAGTCCTTTGAAACTCAGCTATTACCACAATGAAACAGCAAGATGGCTGACTAGAGTTGCCAGGTGCTTATCTCC
This sequence comes from Homo sapiens, assembly GCF_000001405.40. NCBI lineage: Eukaryota > Metazoa > Chordata > Mammalia > Primates > Hominidae > Homo > Homo sapiens. Next base: position 156,613,207 of record NC_000005.10, on the reverse strand, counting down.
CCACAAAAAGGGATGCAAACAACAAACATCTATATTTCAACTGGAGTGACTGAGGAAATACAATGGAGATCACTAGGGCAGTGGCAAGATCCCTGTGGAACATGGAAACCCAGGAAAGCACCACAGAGAGAGGAGCAAAGCACCGTACCTCTGCCACATTATCTCCTCTACTGGGATTAACTTGCAGCCAGGAGTGATTTTATTTTTAAGGGAGAAAGTAAGCTGGATACCCCCAGTAGTCCTTATTACTGCTACACACACCTATAGTCCTTGCTGCCAGAGAGTTCTGCAGTCTTTATAGGCCCCGAATGCAATTTGGGGAGTTGAGTCATGCAGTTGCACTGCCCCAAAGTAGGACTCTCCACTGTGCAACCTCCATCCACTGTGACCTAAGTGGCTACAGCACCACAGCATCTTAACAATGGATCAACTGCTAGAGTACATGCTGCTCTGGAGGGTGGTAGCCATTGCACCTCTCCATTTCTGACACACTGCCATCATACCACTGTACTCACATGGGTAGTTACAGCACCACAACCCTGGCTACTCAGAGCCTAGGCTCAGTGGAACAGCTGAGATGCTGCCTTAAAATCCATCCAACACCCTTACCCCCATACAGGCAGACCTGCATAGTGGGGAAGGTGACACACAGCTGGCTGACTTGCTGTACCTGCACATGTCCAGTCCAACAGTCAGCCTGCTGGTGAACCAGCCACTAGAAAGCCTTGTGAGTAACCAGCCCATAGTAGCCAAATGCACCAAGCCCAACCACCAGTTCAGTACCTTCAGCTCTCGGCAAAACTTCACTACTGCCATCACAAACTCATGTAGCCTAGGTCACTGGCATAATCACAGCTATCACTGACAAAGTTTTCAGCTGAAGAAACTGCACAGAGGCTATGTTACTGGGTCCACCCAGAACAAAAGCCAATGCACCATTCTCAACAAACATCATAGGACTCATCTACAGGAAAATGTCTCTCCCTTCAAAAGCTATCCCACAAAATTGAAAAGGATGACTATTCCACTAGATGCACAAATATCAACATAGGGGTACAAGAAACATAAAAAAGCAAAACAACACCTCTAAAAGAACACAATAATTCTTTAGTAACAGACCCCCTCCCAAAAATAAAATGTATAGAATTCCTGAAAAGGAATTCAAAATCATGAGCTTAGGAAACTCATTGAGCTACAAGAAAATACAGACCACCAATTCAATGAAATAGGAAAAAATTCATCATCTGAATGAGAAATTCAACAGAGATAATTATAAAAACCCCAGAAATCTTGGAGTTGAAAAATTCAATAAATGAAACAAAAAATATGACTGACAGTGTCAATAACAAATTTGGTTAAGCATAAGAAAGAATTTTTGAACATGAAGACAGGTATTTTGAAATAGTCCAGTCAGATAAAAAGGACTAAGAATAAGCATGAATAAAGATAGCCAACAAGATTTATGAGACACTATTAAGTTAACGAATGTTTGCATTATACAAATGCCAGATGGGGAATAGATGAAGAAAGGCACAGAAAACTAATTTAACAAAATAATAGCTGAAAACTCGCCACGTCTACAAAGATCCAGGAAGCAAAAAGATTCCCAATTAGACTCAACTCCAAGGCACATTATAATCAAATTTTCAAAAGTCAAAGCAAAAGAAAGAATTCTAAAAGCTTTAAGAAAAATGTGTCAAGTCATAAATAAGAAAATATCTAATAGACTACAAGCAAATTTCTCAAAAGAAACCTTGCAGGGCAGGGTAGAATGAAATAATATATTCAAAGTGTTAAGTGATAATAACTGTCAGCCAAAAAAACAATACTCAGCATGCTGTCTTTCACAAATAAAGGAGAAAAAAAGACTTTTGCACACAAGCAAAAGCTGAGGGAATTCGTCATAACTTACAAAAAATCCTTAAGGGAGTGCCACACCTGGAAATGAAAGAACAATAACAACTATCATGAAACACAGGAATGTATAAAGCTCACTGTAGAAGTAAATTCATAATCGAGGGGAGGAGCCAAGATGGCTGAATAGGAACAGCTCCAGTCTACAGCTCCCAGCGTGAGTGGCGCAGAAGACGGGTGATTTCTGCATTTCCAACTGAGGTACCAGGTTCATCTCACTGGGGACTGTTGGACACTGGGTGCAGGACAGTGGGTGCAGCACACCGAGCATGAGCCGAAGCAGGGCGAGGCATCGCCTCACCTGGGAAGCGCAAGGGGTCAGGGAATTCCCTTTCCTAGTCAAAGAAAGGGGTGACAGGCAGCAACTGGAAAATCAGGTCACTCTCACCCTAATACTGCGCTTTCCCAACGGTCTTAGCAAACGGCACACCAGGAGATTATATCCTGCGCCTGGCCTGGAGGGTCCTACGCCCACAGAGCCTTGCTCACTGCCAGCACAGGAGTCTGAGATCAAACTGCAAGGTGGCAGCGAGGCTGGGGGAGGGGCGCCCACCTTTGCCGAGGCTTGAGTAAGTAACCAAAGTGGCCAGGAAGCTTGAACTGGGTGGAGCCCACCGCAGCTCAAGGAGACCTGCCTGCCTCTGCAGACTCCACCTCCGGGGGCAGGGCATAGCCAAATAAAAGGCAGCAGAAACCTCCGCAAACTTAAATGTCCCTGTCAGACAGCTTTGAAGAGAGTAGTGGTTCTCCCAGCACGCAGCTGGAGATCTGAGAACGGACAGACTGCCCCCTCAAGTGGGTCCCTGACCCCCGAGGAGCCTAACTGGGAGGCACCCTCCAATAGGGCAGACAAACACCTCACACAGCCGGGTACTCCTTTGAGACAAAAGATCCAGAGGAATGATCAGGCAGCAACACTTGCTGTTCACCAATATCTGCTGTTCTGCAGCCTCCACTGCTGATACCCAGGCAAACAGGGTCTGGAGTGGACCTCCAGCAAACTCCAACAGACCTGCAGCTGAGGGTCCTGACTGTTAGAAGGAAAACTAACAAACAGAAAGGACATCCACACCAAAACCCCATCTGTACATCACCATCATCAAAGACCAAAGGTAGATAAAACTACAAAGATGGGGAAAAAACAGCAGAAAAACCGGAAACTCTAAAAATCAGAGCACCTCTCCTCCTCCAAAGGAATGCAGATCCTCACCAGCAATGGAACAAAGCTAGACGGAGAATGACTTTGACAAGTTGAGAGAAGAAGGCTTCAGATGATCAAACTACTCTGAGCTAAAGCAGGAAGTTGGAACCCATGGCAAAGAAGTTAAAAACCTCGAAAAAAAATTAGACAAATGGCTAACTAGAATAACCAATGCAGAGAAGTCCTTAAAGGACCTGATGGAGCTGAAAACCATGGCACGAGAACTATGTGATGAATGCACAAGCCTCAGGAGCCGATTCGATCAACTGGAAGAAAGGGTATCAGTGATGGAAGATCAAATGAATGAAATGAAGTGAGAAGAGAAGTTTAGAGAAAAAAGTATAAAAAGAAACAAACAAAGCCTCCAAGAAATTTGGGACTATGTGAAAAGACCAAATCTATGTCTGATTGGTGTACCTGAAAGTGACGGGGAGAATGGAACCAAGTTGGAAAACACTCTGCAGGATATTATCCAGGAGAACTTCCCCAATCTAGCAAGGCAGGCCAACATTCAAATTCAGGAAATACAGAGAATGCCATAAAGATACTCCTCGAGAGGAGCAACTCCAAGACACATAATTGTCAGATTCACCAAAGTGGAAATGAAGGAAAAAATGTTAAGGGCAGCCAGAGAGAAAGGTCGGGTTACCCACAAAGGGAAGCCCATCAGACTAACAGCCGATCTCTCGGCAGAAACTCTACAAGCCAGAAGAGAGTGGGGGCCAATATTCAACATTCTTAAAGTAAAGAATTTTCAACCCAGCATCTCATATCCAGCCAAACTAAGCTTCATAAGTGAAGGAGAAATAAAATACTTTACAGACAAGCAAATGCTGAGAGATTTTGTCACCACCAGGCCTGCCCTAAAACAGCTCCGGAAGGAAGCACTCAACATGGAAAGGAACAACCGGTACCAGCCACTGCAAAAACATACCAAATTGTAAGGACCATCGAGACTAGGAAGAAACTGCATCAACTAATGAGCAAAATAACCAGCTAACATCATCATGACAGGATCAAATTCACACATAACAATATTAACCTTAAATGTAAATGGGCTAAATGCTCCAATTAAAAGACACAGACTGGCAAATTGGATAAAGAGTCAAGACCCATCAGTGTGCTGTATTCAGGAAACCCATCTCATGTGCAGAGACACACATAGGCTCAAAATAAAGGGATGGAGGAAGATCTACCAAGCAAATGGAAAACAAAAAAAGGCAGGGGTTGCAATCCTAGTCTCGGATAAAACAGACTTTAAACCAACAAAGATCAAAAGAGACAAAGAAGGCCATTACATAATGGTAAAGGGATCAATTCAACAAGAAGATCTAACTATCCTAAATATATAGGCACCCAATACAGGAGCACCCAGATTCATAAAGCAAGTCCTTAGAGACCTACAAAGAGAATTAGAATCCCACACAATAATAAGGGGAGACTTTAACACCCCACTGTCAACATTAGACAGATCAATGAGACAGAAAGTTAACAAGGATATCCAGGAATTGAACTCAGCTCTGCACCAAGCAGACCTGATAGACATCTACAGAACTCTCCACCCCAAATCAACAGAATATACATTCTTCTCAGAACCACACCACACCTGTTCCAAAATTGACCACATAGTTGGAAGTAAAGCTCTCCTCAGCAAATGTAAAAGAACAGAAATTATAACAAACTGTCTCTCAGACCACAGTGCAATCAAACTAGAACTCAGGATTAAGAAACGCACTCAAAACCGCTCAACTACATGGAAACTGAACAACCTGCTCCTGAATGACTACTGGGTACATAACGAAATGAAGGCAGAAATAAAGATCTTCTTTGAAACCAAAGAGAACAAAGACACAACATACCAGAATCTCTGGGATGCATTCAAAGCAGTGTGTAGAGGGAAATTTATAGCACTACATGCCCACAAGAGAAAGCAGGAAAGATCTAAAATTGACACACTAACATCACAATTAAAAGGACCAGAGAAGCAAGAGCAAACACATTCAAAAACTAGCAGAAGGCAAGAAATAACTAAGATCAGAGCAGAACTGAAGGAAATAGAGACACCAAAAACCCTTCAAAAGCTCAATGAATCCAGGAGCTGTTTTTTTGAAAAGATCAACAAAATTGATAGACCACTAGCAAGACTAACCAAGAAGAAAAGAGAAGAATCAAATAGACGCAATAAAAAATGATAAAGGGGATATCACCACCGATCCAACAGAAATACAAACTACCATCAGAGAATAATATAAACACCTCTACACAAATAAACTAGAAAATCTAGAAGAAATGGATAAATTCCTGGACACATACACCCTCCCAAGACTAAACCAGGAAGAAGTTGAATCTCTGAATAGACCAATAACAGGCTCTGAAATGAGGGAAAAATTAATAGCCTACCAAACAAAAGAAGTCCAGGACCAGATGGATTCACAGCCCAATTCTACCAGAGGTACAAAGAGGAGCTGGTACCATTCCTTCTGAAACTATTCCAATCAACAGAAAAAGAGGGAATCCTCCCTAACTCATTTGATGAGTCCAGCATCATCCTGATACCAAAGCCTGGCAGAGACACAACCAAAAAAGAGAATTTTAGACCAATATCCCTGATGAACATCGATGCAAAAATCCTCAATAAAATACTGGCAAAGCAATTCCAGCAGCACATCAAAAAGCTTATCCACCATGATCAAGTGGGCTTCATCCCTGGGATGCAAGGCTGGTTCAACATACACAAACCAGTAAATATAATCCAGCATATAAACACAACCAATGACAAAAACCACATGACTATCTCAATAGATGCAGAAAAAGCCTTTGACAAAATTCAACAATGCTTCATGCTAAAAACTCTCAATAAACTAGGTATTGATGGGATGTATCTCAAAATAATAAGAGCTATCTATGACAAACCCACAGCCAATATCATACTGAATGGGCAAAAACTGGAAGCATTCCCTTTGAAAACTGGCACAAGACAGGGATGCCCTCTCTCACCACTCCTATTCAACATAGTGTTGGAAGTTCTGGCCAGGGCAATTAGGCAGGAGAAGGAAGCAAAGAGTATTCAATTAGGAAAAGAGGAAGTCAAATTGTCCCTGTTTGCAGACGACATGATTGTATATCCAGAAAACCCCATCGTCTCAGCCCAAAATCTCCTTAAGCTGATAGGCAAATTCAGCAGTCTCAGGATACAAAGTCAATGTGCAAAAATCACAAGCATTCTTATACACCAATAACAGACAAACAGAGAGCCAAATCATGAGTGAACTTCCAATCACAATTGCTTCAAAGAGAATAAAATACCTAGGAATCCAACTTACAAGGGATGTGAAGGACCTCTTCAAGGAGAACTACAAACCACTGCTCAATGAAATAAAAGAGGATACAAAGAAATGGAAGAACATTTCATGTTCATGGGTAGGAAGAATCAGTATCATGGAAATGGCCATACTGTCCAAGGGAATTTATAGATTCAGTGCCATTCCCATCATGCTACCAATGACTTTCTTCACAGAATTGGAAAAAAACTACTTTAAAGTTCATATGGAACCAAAAAAGAACCTACATTGCCAAGTCAATCCTAAGCTAAAAGAACAAAGCTGGAGGCATCATGCTACCTGACATCAAACTATACTACAAGGCTACAGTAACCAAAACAGCATGGTACTGGTACCAAAACAGAGATATAGACCAATGGAACAGAACAGAGCCCTCAGAAATAATGCCACATATCTACAACTATCTGATCTTTGACATACCTGACAAAAAGAAGAAATGGGGAAAGGATTCCCTATTTAATAAATGGTGCTGGGAAAACTGGCTAGCCATGTGTAGAAAGCTGAAACTGGATCCCTTCCTTAGACCTTATACAAAAATTAATTCAAGATGGATTAAAGACTTAAATGTTAGACCTAAAACCATAAGAACCCTAGAAGAAAACCTAGGCAATACCATTCAGGACATAGGCATGGGCAAGGACTTCATGTCTAAAACACCAAAAGCAATGGCAACAAAAGCCAAAATTGACAAATGGGATCTAATTAAGCTAAAGAGCTTCTGCACAGCAAAGGAAACTACCATCAGAGTGAACGGGCAACCCACAGAATGGGTGAAAATATTTGCAATCTACTCATCTGACAAAGGGCTAATATCCAGAATCTGCAATGAACTCCAACAAATTTACGAGAAAAAAACAACCCCATCAAAAAGTGGGTGAAGGATATGAACAGACACTTCTCAAAAGAAGACATTTATGCAGTCAAAAGACACATGAAAAAATGTTCATCATCACTGGCCATCAGAGAAATGCAAATCAAAACCACAATGAGATACCCTCTCACACAAGTTAGAATGGTGGTCATTAAAAAGTCAGGAAACAACAAGTGCTGGAGAGGATGTGGAGAAATAGGAACACTTTTACACTGTTGGTGGGACTGTAAACTAGTTCAACCATTGTGGAAGTCAGTGTGGCGATTCCTCAGGGATCTAGAATTAGAAATATCATTTGACCCAGCCATCCCATTACTGGGTATATACCCAAAGGATTATAAAACATGCTGCTATAAAGACACATGCAGACGTATTTTTATTGCAGCACTATTCACACTAGCAAAGCCTTGGAACCAAGCCAAATGTCCAACAATAATAGACTGGATTAAGAAAATGTGGCACATATACCATAGAATACTATGCAGCCATAAAAAATGATGAGTTCATGTCCTTTGTAGGGACATGGATGAAGCTGGAAACCATCATTCTCAGCAAACTATTGCAAGGACAAAAAACCAAACACTGCATGTTCTCACTCATAGGTGGGAATTGAAGAATGAGAACACATGGACACAGGAAGGGGAACATCACACACCGAGGCCTGTTGTTGGGTGGGGGGAGAGGGGAGGGATAGCATTATGAGATATACCTCATGTTAAATGACGAGTTAATGGGTGCAGCACACCAACATGGCACATGTATACATAGGTAACAAACCTGCACGTTGTGCACATGTACCCTAAAACTTAAAGTATAATAATAAAACACACACACACACAAGAGAAAAAAAAAGAAGTAAATTCATAATCAAACTCAAAATACCCCATTGCTACAATGGTACTATGTAAATCTTTCAATCCCTTAATATGAAGGCTAAAAGTCAACACAGTCAAAAACAATAACAACTAAAATTAGTGGTTAAGAAACATACACATAATATATATATAAAGTATATATTATACACATTATATATGTATATATGTGTGAATATTGTGTATATATGTATAGTGTATAATTTATATATATTATACATATAAAATGTGTATATATGTATATATACATATAAAATGTGTATATATGTATATATACATATATAATGTGCATATATTTCATGTATATGTATAATGGATATACTATATATACTAATTTAAATATATGTTTTCAGGCAAGAAAATATCAAAAATATAAATTGTTGGCAGGGAGGAAAAAAGTCTAGAGTATTTCTCATGTGACTGGAATTAAATTGTTATTAGCTTAAAATAACCTATTGTAACTATAAGACTTCACGTTAGCCCCACAGGAATCACAAATAAATTACAGCAGATACATAAACAAGAAAGAGAAAGAAAACAAATCTTAGCACCACAGAAAACCACCACACCACAGAGGTAAAAAAGAGGAGGAGTAAGTTCTCACCTATCATAAATAACTTTGAATGTAAATGGATAAAATTCTTTAATTAAAATATATACAGTGACTGAATGGATTAAAGAACAAGACCCCATTATATTCTGCCTACAAGAGACTCACCTCATTATTAAACACATAGATGAAAGTGGAGAAATGAAAAAAGACAGTCCATTCAAATGGAAATGAAAAGCAAGCAGGAGTAGCCATACTTATATAAAATAAAGTAGACTTTAAGTCAAAAACTGTAAAAAGAAAGGAGAAGGTCATTGTATAGTGATAAAAGAATCAATTCAACAAGAAGATATAACAATTGTAAATAAAGAAACCCAATTCCAAAGCACTTAAATATATAAAGCAAATATTACTAGATCTAAAGGGAGAGATTGACTCCAAAACAGTAATAGTAGAAGACTTCAGCACCTCACTTTCAACAATGGAAAGATCACTTATACAGAAAATTAACAAAGAAATATTAGACTTAAACTGTACCATAGACCAAATGGACCTAATAGACATTTACAGAACATTCCATTTAAGAGCTGTAGAATATATATTCTTTTCAATTACACGTTTAACATTCTCCAAAATAGATCACATGTTATACCACAAAACAAGTCTTAACAAAGAAGATAAAGATTATATCAAGCATTTTTTTTCTGACAATGGTATAAAACTAGAAATCAACTAGAAGAAAAACTTCAGAACTTTACAAATACATGTAAACAACAGTCTCCTCAATAAGTTAACAATGAAATTAAAAAGGAAATTTAAATATTTTTGAGAGAAATAAGAATAAAAACACATCATGCCAAAGCCTGAGACATTGCAAAAGCAGTCATAAGAAGGAATTTCATAGCAATGAATGCCTATATCGAAAAAGTAAAATGATTTATATTAAGCAATCTAAAGATACACTTCAAGGAACTAGAAATGTAAGAACAAAACCCAAAGTTGGTAGAAGAAAGTAAATAATAAAGATCGAGTAGAATTAAAAAAGAGATTATAGTTAAAAAGATCAATGAAACAAAGTTGTTTTTTTGAAAATATAAACAAAATTGACAAATATTTAGCTAGATTAATACAAAAAGAGAAGACTCAAATAAAATCTAAAATAAAAAAGTAAACGTTACAACTCATACCACAGAAATAAAATGGATTATTATGTATCTATATGAATATCTATCTACCAACAAACTTGACGATCTAGATGAAATGGATAAATTCTTGGACCCCATAGAACCTAACAAGATTGGATTATGAGGAAATAGACAATGGGAACAGACCAATAATGAGCAAAGAAATTTAATCAGTAATAAAAGTCTTCCATCAAAGAAAAGCCCAGGACATAATGGCTTCATGCTGACTTCTTGCCAAACACTTAAAGAAGAAGTATTACTAATTCTTTTCAAACTATTCCATAACATCAGAGAAGAGGAAACACTTCCAAACTGATGTTACAAGGCCAGCATCACCTTGATATCAAAACCAGACAAGAATACAACAAAAAAAGAAACTATAGCCTAATACCTCTGACGAACATAGATACAAAATTTCTCAACAAAATATTAACTGACTGAATTTAACAGCAAATTAAAAAGATTATTCACTATGACCAAGTAGGATTCATACCAGGAATGCAAGGATGGTTTACCATCAGCAAATCCATAAGTGTGATATACTACGTTAATGGAAAGAAAGACAAAAACCATATGATCATTTTAATACATTCAGAAGAAGCATTTGACAGAACTCAAAATCCAATTGCAAGAAATTCATCAAATTAGGTATAAAAGGTAGGTACCTCAACACAATAAAGGCCATATACAAGAAATCACCAGTTAACATCATACTGAATGGGAAGTTCCCTCTAATATCAGGAATAGGACAAGAATGCCCACTCTCACCACTTGTATTCAACGAAGTACAGGAAGTTGTAGCCAGAGAAATTAAGAGAAAGAAAGAAACAAACAAAATGGAAAGGAGGAAATCAAATTGTCCCTGTTTGCAGATGATAAGATTTTATATATAACATATGGAAAACCCTAAAGATTCCACCAAAAAAAAAATTATTAGAATTAAGAAATCTAACAGTCAATTCTAATCAGTTGTGGGACATCAAATGGACGTATACAAATCAGTAGCATTTCTATATGCTAACAGTGAACTATTTGAAAAAATATCAAGAAAGCAATCCCATTTACAATAGCTACGAAAAATAAGATACCTATGAATAAACTTAAGCAAGGAGGTGAAAAGATCTCTATACTGAAAACTATACAACATTGATGAAATAAATTGAAGAGGACACAAATAAGTGAAGAGAGACTCCATGTTCACAGATTAGATTAATTCTTAAATTGTTAAAATGTCCATACTACCCAAAACATTCTACCGATTTAATGCAATCCCTATCAAAAATACCAATGACACGGCCAGGCTCAGTGGCTCACACCTGCAATCCCAGCACTTTGGGAGGCCAAGGCAGGCAGATCACAAGGTCAGGAGATCGAGATCATCCTGGCTAACACGGTGAAACCCGTCTCTACTAAAAATAGAAAAATTAGCCGGGCGTGGTGGCAGGCGCCTGTAGGCCCAGCTACTCGGGAGGCTGAGGCAGGAGAATGTCCGGAACCCGGGAGGTGGAGCTTGCAGTGAGCCAAGATCGCGCCACTGCACTCCAGCATGGGCGACAGAGCCAGACTCCATCTCAAAAACAAAAACAACCAAACAAAAAAACCCAATGACATTATTCACAGAAATAGGAAAAAAATTCTAAAATTCATCTCGAACCACAGAAGACTCCAAATAGCCAAAACAATTGTGAGCAAGAAGAATTAAACTGCAGGCATTGCACTTCTAAACATACTACAAAGCTATAATAACCAAAACAACATGGTACTTGGCATAAAAGTAGACACATACACCGATGGAAGAGAATAGAGATCCCAGAAATAAATTCACTCACCTACAGCCAATTGCCTTTTCATAAAGTTGATAAAAACACATATTGGGGAAAAATAGTCTCTTCAATAAATGGTGCCAGAAAATTGGATATCCACATGTAGAAGAATGAGATTAGACCTCTACCTCTCACTATATATAAAAATCACATCAAAATGGATTTAAAGATGTAAATGTAAAACCCAAAACTACAATACTAGAAGAAAGCGTAGAGAAAATACTTCATGATATTGGGCTAAGGAAGGATTTTTTAGGTGAGATCTCAAAAGTACAGGCAACAAAGTTAAAAATATGGGATTACATAAAACTAAAAAGCTTTTTCACAGCCAAGGAAACAAGAGAAAGAAGAGACAACCAACTACATGGAAGAAAATGTTGACAAACTATACATCTGACAGGAGTTAATATCTAGAATACAAAAGGAACAGCAAAAAAGCAAAATAATCCAATTTTAAATAGGCAAAAGATCTTAATAGATATTTCTCAAAAACATACCAATGTTCAACAGGTATATGAAAATATGCTCAACATCATTAACCATTTAAATATAAATGAAATGCAAATGAGATACCATCTCTCTCCAGTTAGGAGTATTATCAAATAGACAAAAGATAACAAATATTGATGAGGATGTAAAAAAAGGGAATCCTTAACATGGTTAGTGGGAATATAAATAAGTATAACTATTACAGAAAACAGTAAGGAGGCTCTACAAATAATTAAAATAGAACTACCATATGATCCAGCAATCCCACTACAGGATATATACCCAAAGTAAATGAAATCAATACATCAAAGAGATGTCTTAAGTTCCACGTTTACTGCAGTACTAGTCACAATAGCCAAGACTTGGAATCAACCTACATGGCCAACAAGAAATACATAAAAAAGAATACATAAAGAAAATGTGTTATGTGTACACAATGGAATACTGTTCAGCCATAAAAAGAATAATATTCTGTCATTTGGGACAAAATGGGCAAACCAGAGGACATTTTGCTAAGTAAAATAACCAGACATACAAAGAAAAATACCACAGGATCTCATTCATATGTGGAATTTTAAAAAAGTTGATTTCATATTAAATAGAAGTTGAGAATAGAAAGGTGGTTACCATAAATTGGGAGGGGATGGAGGAGAGAAGGTTGGGGAGTTTGGTTAATGGATAAAAGTTGCATTTAGATAGGAGAAATAAGTTCTGGTGTTCTATTGTGCAGGAGGGTGACTACAGTTAACAGTAAGTTACTGTATGTTATAAAATAGCTACAAGACTGGTTTTTGAATGTTGTCATCAAAAAGAAATGATAAACGCACAAGGTGTTGAATATGCTAACTACCTTAGTTTCATCATTATATGATGGAGATGTATCAAAAAATCAAATTGTATGTTTGCCTGTAATGTGTCAATTGAAAAAAAAATCCATCACCAACACCAGTTAGCATGTACTGAATGCTTACTGTGTTCCACACACTGTACTATTAACTCTACACACACTGTGTAGTTCAGTACTCCCAACAGCACAGAGCACCCAACATTATTACCCTATGTCACAGAGTTATAAGAGGATCCCTAGAACGATGAAGCAACATACCCAAAGCACTAGCTTACAACAGAAACCAGGATATATAGTTAGCTACAAAACCTGTGTTTTTAATTACTCAACTGCATGGCTCTTGGTTGCTCTGCTTTCCCCAGGAAAGTCATGCATGTATGAGAGCTCAGTGACTACAGCCTACCTACATTTATTCCTCCTATATCTTTTCCAGAATAAAAGTTTCCAAATAATTGAGCTTCTAGTCTTTTTACCATACTATTCAAGATCCCTTGAATGTGCTCAAGGTTGTCATTGTCCTAAAAACTGAATAGGTGGGTGTGGTTATCCAGAGAAAAATTTTTAAAATTGTTCTGAATCCACAAGTAAAGCTACTACATGTAAGAGACATTATGTTTTTAGGTCTCTACTGCTTATTTCTACTCAACTTGCTATCAACTTAAATAATTGACTTTTTACATAGCATTTACTTATATTTCTTATTATAGTCATTCATTCTTCCTTCCATTTTTTTTTCTTTTTCTATACAAATGGAAACTAAAGCTTAGAGAGAAAACATACTTGAATACGGTCACTCAGGTCCTAAGTGGTCCTGATAAGGATAAAACCCAGCTATGTTAGATGCTACCATGAAATGTGCAACCAGATTCAAACCTCCCAAGAGTTTATACAGTCTGACGACTCAAAAAGACAAACTTCTCATTATGCTGAAAATGAAACTGCCTAGACTTGTCATTCCACACCATATGGCTGAATCCCAGCTGATAAGAAGCTCATTTCTGCAACCCACTGGGCTCATTTCACTGAGTAGGTTGATGCAAGATTTGTGGGGTGGTCATTTCCAAGTCTTTTTAGCATTGACAGCAGCAGTGATATTTATTTTGATGCTTCCTTTCTACATTTCACATAAAAAAGCAAATGTTCCTAATGATGAAGAGAGACAGATTTTATCCTACATTATGCTCTAAATGAAATATCACAAACATAGCTGCAAACAACAACGAAAATACCCACCTGCTTTGAAGTGACCAAAACCTATAATCATTTCCCAGTCTTCAGTCTAAGTGAATGTGGGGGTGGGGTAGGGTAGAGGTTAAGTTCTGAAGTGATACCATCACAGAGTTTTGGATGTTAAGATTAAGCCAAAGTGTCTGGACGTTTAAAATTATCCTATGCCATTGCAAAGTCAGATTTTAAAGTGGTGAAGTGACTCATGATGCACCAAGGAATTAACAGGAAGTGCCAAATTCACTTGCATAGAATGATCTGGGTGTGAGATAACACCACTTTTTCCCCTAGGCATTTTTGTTTTACAGCTGGTACAGCAAAGTTTTTTGTTTTTGTTTTTGTTTTTTGAGACAGAGTCTCACTATATTGCCCAGGCTGGAGTACAGTGGCACGATCTTGGCTCTCTGCAACCTCCACCACCTGGGTTCAAGCAATTCTCCTGCCTCAGCCTCCCCAGTAGCTGGGATTACAGCTGTGTGCCACCACACCTGGATAATTTTTATATTTTTAGTAGAGACGGGGTTTCACCATGTTGGTCAGGCTGGTCTTGAAATCCTGACCTCATGATCCACCTGCACTGGGCTCCCAAAGTGCTGGGATTACAGATGTGAGCCACTGCGCCTGGCCCAAAGTGCTCTTAAACATGAGGATAGCTCGAAGTCTCTGGGTTTCCCTCCACACCAGCCAAGAATTAAAATAGAAAATGCCATTTCTACAAAAAGAGGAAAGCATAAATTGTGAAAATAGGAAAAGTCTTAGGAACATATTTACATGTAGTGAAGTGCACCGAGGCTGGAGTCTATAGGCAGGGATTTGAACATGGGCCCTTCCACTTACTGGCACTTGATCTTGGGCAATGTTCCCCTTCTGAAAATGAGACCAGATAGAGGCCACAGCAAGTATAGGGCTTTAAGGTAAAGCCCTCTATGTCCAACATGCCAGGTTGTGAATTCTAGCTGTCAGCCATGCTTTGGTTCACCTTTCCCTATGGCTCAGCTCAATTGTGTCAACTGTAAAACAGGGGTGATAAAAATGGTGTCTACCCCACAAGGTGTTTCTGAGGTGTAAATATAATACTGCATATCAAGCATAGTACCTAAATCATAGCAAGTAATCAATAGACCTTTTATAAAAAGAGTATCCACATAAGGGGTTTTAAAAAATAAGTTATAAGCAGTCCCCAGAGGACACAGAGGGGGAAAAGAATCAAACTATACTAAGACTCCAATGTCTCAAGTCTCCCCTTTCAAATCCTCACCGACATGGTTTGGCTGTGTCTCCGCTCAAATCTGATCTTGAATTGTAGCAACCATAGTCCCATGAACCCAGTTGGAGATAATTGAATCATAGGGGTGGGTTTTTTCCTAGGCTGTTCTTATGATCGTGAATAAGTCTCATGAGATCTGATGGTTGCATAAAGGGCAGTTTTCCTGCATGTGCTCTCTTGCCTGCCTCCATGTAAAATGTGTCTTTGTTCTTCCTTTGCTTTCTGTCATGATTGTGAGGCCTCTCCAGCCATTTGGAACTGTCAGTCCATTAAACCTCTTTTTCTTTATAAATTACCCAGTCTAGGGTATGTCTTTATTAGCAGGGTGAGAACAGACTAATATACTCGCCTACAACCCAGAGAAATCTTGGTCTTTCATCTATTTTATTTATTGGGACTATGTATGAAATTTTATTTTTAAAAGCTTTGGTCACTGGAAAACATTGTATAAAAATATCTTCTCTAGGTAACTCTAATTTTACAGATATAAAAAAGCAAGGCCCTGAAAGAAAAAGGGAGTTGTTTCAGATCATGCCACACATAAACCACTGACCAGGGATTAGACTGCACCTGGCTTTATCATCTCTGCACCCTGCATTTTTGCCTCCATTAAGCCCCATAAGGATGGTCACTTCCATCTTTTGACTATGCTGAGCTCATGATGGCCAGGATGAGACTGGGACAGGACAGTATAATGGGGACAGTAAGAGTGTTAAGGAAGTCAGGGGCAAATACAAGTGGGAGAGTCGGGGGTGAGGTGATGGAATATATATGCACACATGTACATATGCGTGCATTTGACCATGATAGGCATTCAAGATCCACTGAATTTGAGAGGCTGGCAGAATATCCAGATAAAGAAGATCCAGAATTCAAGGAAGATACCAGACTGGAGATGAAGCTCTAAGAGTCATCCAGAAAGGAAATTAGACATGTATGTGTACTGAGAGAGGAAGAGAGAAATAGACCAGACAAGCTGACTGTGGGAGGAGGTAAAGACCAAGAAAAAATACAGGAGTAATGGAAGATAAAGAAGATGCAAAGTGCAAATAATAATGCAGAGATAAATATAATTTCAGGTAAACGTACCTTATAATAATACTAATAATTTAAGATGATAACACCTAGCACTTATTGGACACTTAGTATTTTAGCCAACTCAGTACTTTACATAGATGATTTCATTCAATCTTTTTAGCAGTCTCAGAAGATAGATACTTCTATTATACCAATTTTATAAACAGGTAAGCAAGCAGGCACAGAGAGATTAGATACTTTGCTTAAGGTTAC
This sequence comes from Homo sapiens, assembly GCF_000001405.40. Classification (NCBI taxonomy): domain Eukaryota; kingdom Metazoa; phylum Chordata; class Mammalia; order Primates; family Hominidae; genus Homo; species Homo sapiens. The sequence continues at coordinate 156,596,331 of NC_000005.10, read as the reverse complement.
ACAGCTAGCAAAGGATAGAAATTGGGTTAAAAACAGGCTAATTCTAGAGCCTGAGATTTTAATCACTATGCTACAGTGAATCTCAGGGAGCTAAAGAAGGAAAAGTAGAATTAGCATTAATAGTAATAGTAGTATAAGTAGTAACAGCAGCAGCAGCACCTACTGTTGACTGAGCACTATTTTGTGCTAGGGGCTCTGATAAGTGGATGTAACAGAGTCTCATTTAACCTTAGGGACAACTCAAGATGGGAGATGTTCTTAGCCTTATTGAGCAGAAAAGGAAACTGGCTCAGTGATGCCAGCAACTTGCCCAAAGTCACAAAACTAGTGGGTGACAGCAGGAATTAAAAACCCGGTCAGCTGGAGTTCTAGGATCCTTAAATCACCATGCTAGATCATTTCAGCATACAGCCATAAAAGATTCATTTGCTATGTGCTCAAATTCAATAATTCCAACAGTGGGATCATAGAAATTTCTGCAAATATTTTTAATAACGAATTCTCAGTGTTTTCACCATAGCTTCTAATTCAGTAAATCAGAGTTGGAACTATGAACCTAAACCCTTCCAAAGTTTCCTAGATGATTCTTCAGTTGCAACCAGGTTTAGGAATCACTGCATCATGTATGCAAGTCTGGAATGCGTCAAGCACGCCTGCCAGTCTGTGAGTACAGGATGTTCTAAATGAGACTTCTTTGGATGAGCACTCATTTTCACACAAAGCTCAGTGTTGAAAGATGTGCCAAAAAGACTTGACAGCTTGAGAAATTTCCACTAGGGGACCAGACTCAGGGAGGTTCAACTGCCTTGCTTTAAAAGAATCCAGGAAACTGGCCTAAATCACTCTTCTAGACACCATTTGTCTTAGTCAGTTCAGGCTGCTGTAACAAAGTACCATAGCCTGGGTGGCTTATAAACAACAGAAATTGATTTCTCACAGTTCTGGAGGCTTAAAGTCTGAGATCAGATACGAGCCTGGTCAGGTTCTGGTGAGGCTCCTATTCCAGGTTGCAGACTGCTGACTTCTTGTACCCTCTCATGTCAGAGAGGGATCTCTGGTCTTCTCATCCCCTTGGAAGGACACTAATCCCATTCATGAGGGCTCAACCCTCATGACTTAATTACCCCTCAAGGCTCCACCTCCTAATACCATTATCTTGGGAGTTAGGATTTCGATATATGAATTTTGGGAGGACATATCCTGTTCATAACACCATTTTGCTTCTCCTCTAAAATGTACACAGTAGCATCAAACAAGTTAAATGATTCAAGTTTCCTTACCTAAAACTCGTAATCTTTCAGCTCCTACTACCACTTCATTATTGTCTGCAGAGAAGAGCAATTTTCCAGAAACAGTTTTTACCTCAAATTTTTTACCATAAGCTTCTACGGCTTTTGGACCTGAGAGATATAGAGAGATAGAGAGATAGAGAGGAGAGAGGAGAGAGAGAGAGAGAAAACACCATTAGTCTCATCGCTTTGACTACAAAAAGCTTTTCATAGAACACACATATCTAACAAGATTGTATGAGACTTCAATGTTCAGTGGACTGGTTTTCAAAAGCTGACCATGAAAATCAGTCTCATGACTTTAGCCAGGTCTTGTCAATTACTTTTAGTAATATATTCTTGGGCTATAATTTTGAAGACCAGCAAGCCCTTCCTCCAAACTAATCCTTGACTGTGATTTCCCTCAGCTAACCACCAAATTGCTGTCAAATAGTTGTGGATTTTTGCTTGCATTTCTCAAGGCACCAGAGGCTCAACACTTCTCGAGACAATCACATATCTTTGGCCCTCCCTAATTATCAGAAAGAGCTTTTTAAAATTCAGCTGAAATGTGTTTAACTTTGTACCCTTAACCCACTGGCTGCATTTGACACCAAGAGAAATTTATTTCCTTAGTATACAGATCATTTCATAGCAGAAATGGTTACTGTAATTAATTGCCTTAGAAGTTGTTCAATCTTTTATATTAGGATTTTGTTCAGTGAAAACTAAATTTAGATAGTTTATCAGATGACAACAGATGCTGTTCTTGAATGTGGAGCTGTAATACTGCACAAGGAAATCAAGCCCGATTCCATAGCATCTATATTCTGATGGAGACACACCAATATACATTTAAAATTTTATTATTAAACCAGAAAACTGCAGAAAGATTTAGGTACCATGGAAAAAGTAAACCAGGTTGATGAGCTAGAATTTCTAAAAGAAGAAAGCATTCCAATCTATCTGAGCTGGATCTACTGGATCTACCTGAATACCTAAATTTCATGGGGTTCTCAAAAGCTGGTCTACAGAAACACACAGGAATAATCCAGGAGTATAATCATTCTCACTGAACCTAGCTCAGATCAAAAGAAATTCATCTTTTCAACTAGAAGTTCCTACAGAAAAAAATTTGAGGGTAGAGTCTAGAAATCTTATACTTTTTCCAAAATTGTTCAGAAGATTCTGACATGGAATTGTTTTCTTTCTGGTATTTTTCAAAAGAGTGTCACTTAATAATAAATAGCAATGAGAGAGTCCCCAGTGCCTTCCAGCCAAAGACCACTAGGAACACACCTGTTGTTGAACAAATTGGGTTTATTACTCATTGCAGTGAGGGACAACACACACCATAAGGAAAACCATAGGGCATCTCAGAAAGAAGTCATGAGAAAGGACTTATCAGAGAATGTGACCTTATATTAGCTTATTTTGGGGAACGTTTAAGGAAATAAGGCTCTACCCTGGATTAAATACTATCAGAAAATGGGAGTAAATCTTATCTAGAACAAAGACAGACCAGGGAAATGCAAAAAATGTGGTGAATAAAGAAACAGAGTCACTCTTATTAGCCAGGATAGGGGGATGTTTGGTCTTTTTTGTGGTCTGGACAATGTTGATAGTTTTGCTATGTACACACATGACCAGAGTTGTGTTTGTGTGTTTGTGTTGTTTTGTCTTGATCCATCATGGCCACTGAACAGCCTTGTCTGGTGCGCGTGTTCTGAAAAATTACATTGAAGCAGGAGAATGCTAAGGCTGGGCTGATAGTGCCAACCAGCCACTGGGCATCTGGGGTGGCTTTTCTCTTTGTCAAGACTGTCGGACTAGGAATCAGAAGACATGAATTATTTCCCAACTCATTCTTATTCTGTGATAACATGATTTGGGGCAAATCATTTGATCTTTCTGAACCTCAGTTTCTGCATCTATAACATTGGACTATCACTGCCTACTGTATCTATCTATGTTATAGAAAGTTTGAAAGAATCAAATGACATTGTGTTTATAAAAAGAAATCTATGGGTGGTAAAGTGCTGTGAGTGTAGGAAACCACTCCTGTGGACATCACCACTCTTGTGGATGTCGCCATTCTACTGCAATGGGACAACACGTGGAAAAGAATGCATGATGAGTACTTATTAGTGCACTCTCCTTACTCACATAATCACATCTATTAAGCAGACCTCATCCCTTGCCAGTGTGTCCACACCAGCCCTCCAACACAAAGAAGGACATTGGAAAGGCTCCCTAATGAGTAGGAGATTGAAACAGCAGAGATAGGACAGCACTTCCAAGCATGATGGAACCCGGAAGTCATCTTATCTGACCACTTTGATGCTGCAGATGAGGAGAACAAATGGGGGCAAGGCGGAGGGCTCTCGCAAGGTTAGAGACAATGGCAGGTCTCAGTCTGGAATGGAGCTCTGAGAATTATTCCACAGAAGGAAAGGGGCATTTATTTGTCTAGGAAGGAGAAGGGAGCTGGGGCCAGCACATCTGGAAGAGCCAGGAAATAAGATCTGTGAGGAGAAGGAGAAATAGAAAACTGGAGACAAGGGCCAGAAGGAAATCTTGAAAGAGCTGAGATGTCCAATGAGGGATTTGGCTTCAGTTTTTCTGCAAAGGCTAAGATGTAGCTATCTTCTTGATGGCATCAAAACCTTGAATAAAATCTATATTATATTGTCAGTGCTTTAGGGTTATTACTTTATTTTTGTGAGGAGGGAGATTGAGAATGGGAAGGTAATGAAGTACTAACGAATGAATGAATGACCTCAGGATGGGCACAGGGCGAGCAGTTTGCCCATTTTTGTTCCATTCATATAAAAAAGCAGTTGTATAACTTGGGGACACACATGCTTGGACTTCTCTGTGGACCTGGGCAATATCATCATCCTGGTCCCTGAGGAGTTAAGGACACCTTCCTGTGTTACTTTGAATTCATGAACAGCTGTGAGACATACAGAAGCATATACTAAAGGACTATAGCAGTATAGAAAGTATGCTTCAGCAATCAGAGAACACAAAGTACAATTAAGCTATCTTGCTTTTCAGGGCTTCACAGAACATAAAGTGGAATTCACCAAGAGCCACAACCCTTTGGGTATCTGAAGCTCAGTAATTGGTAGTTTTAGCCAAAACCCCACAGAGCAACTGCTGGCTCAGTGGTGCAGATGGCTTGTCCTTTGTTGATTTCACCTGAGGCTGCAAAATTCCCTGGACATGGCTGGAATCCTTAAAAATGACTCTAGAGAAAAATGCAAATGGAGCTGGAGACAGCTCAGGAGGTCACATGTTGAACTCATTGTTCCTCTCTGGGAAGAAAAAAACCACTATTCCTAATGTGAAACTAATCTTGAATTAATCCCCCTCTGTGTAGTCTATGTGTGGAGTGCCTCCTTAATTAATCTCCTAAACAGGGAGGAGAACTGGAGCCCCATCAAAATGCATCAACAGTCTCCATGAGTCTGGGAGGTGCAAAGGCCTGGTGGCCTTCAAGCCTAATTTCTCTTCCCAACTCTCTTAACACTAGAACCCTTCCCCACTCCCTCATGATGCTGTCCAAAGCATCTCCACTGCTTTCCTCCATGTAGGTGGGAGGGTTCCCCATTCAGACCCACTACTGAGATACTAAATCAGCAGCCTGCCTTATGGTCAAATAGGCATTCGTGATCTAATTTGAGAACTTAACTATCATGTGAAGTATTGTTTCCTGTGAAAAGACTTCCTGGACATCTAACATTAGAATTTCTAATGGGTTTTTGAGACATTCTTTAGGTAAACAGAATTCTTTATTCCTCAGGATAGCCTTTGTAGACCTCATTGCTTAGAAGACAGGAGTGATTTGTTTTCCAACAAGTACAGCACCCAGCACAACAGGCATTAGAAGGTATTGTCTGCTGGGATGGCTGGGTGCTTTTCCACTGTGTGCATTAATGTAATGTAAAAGGAGAGTATTGAAGGAAAACTTTTAAGGGTGTATTGTTGCATGTGTGTATGTGTGTGTGTGTGTTTAGAATGATGTTTTAAACATATCTAATGTCTTCTCTAGAATTCATCATAGGGAGACAGAAAACAAATACCAAATACCACTGGAGGGATAGAGTCAAGAATAGTGACACAGGAGGAGGGAGAAGGAGGAAGAAACAAGGGAAGAGAGGAAGAAGAAGAGAGACGAGAAGAGAGAAGGGGAAGGAAAGGGATAAAGGGGTGGTAGGAGAGAGGGGAAGGAATAGGGAGAGAAGCACTGAAGGGGAGGGGAAAAGGGGTGTCAGAAGGGTAGGGAGAGAAGGGAGAGGAAGAGTGGGGGGAAAAAAAGAGACTGACTCACTCTTTTGCTGAATAATAGTCATTTGGGCAGTTCCAGATTTATCAAAACAAAATCTCAAATAAACCAAATCTCCCACTACAAATAAATGGGAAATGATCAACAGGCTAAATAAGTTCCTTTTGAATGTGAAAATCTGGGAGCTGGAGGTTGGATTTATTACCCTCCTGGAGGCAATTTTCACACACGCTGCTTAAATCATTGCTTACTGAAGCTGTTTATTTAATTATTTAGCATTGTGACTGTGGGCCAGATGTTATATAAGCAAGGTGGAAGATCCAGTCACACGCTGAAACAACATGTTTATGGATTATGGGCTCTGCCGGGCAGCAGTTCCTTCAATCCCTGAGTTTCTTGATTGGCAGATGGTCCAAGTCACCCACTGGCTATGAATCTCTAGACATCTACATGCAGCACTCCAGGGGAAGAGTGGGAGTGAGGCTCCCTCCCCAGGAGTGAAGACTATGGTCACAAAGGTACCTGTTTCCCCATGGCTTATTAGTGGGTTCCAGATATTTTATTCACAATAACAGTAATGTTTCGAGGCATTTGGGTAACTGGCTTCTCAAAATGTCCATCCGTATACTTTACTTTTAGCCCTGAAGCCAAACAAATGGCATTTTCTGTCTGTAAGTATAACAATGCCATTCATACATACATTCCTTTTCCCTTCCACTGTGGGGGTGCATAATGCCTCCCTGTTCACTGCTTACAGAGTGGGCATTGATTGTGCTGCTCAACACGTTACCAAATCACGAGGTCCATGTTTATCATTATAATCATTATTGTGAATAACCAGTCCTTGTTTAGATTTCAGGAATTTGTAGTTTAAAACACAGTGGGTGCTTTCCACAGCCGTTAGGCACAGATCTGCTGTATTAAAAGAAATTACACACAAACATATTCAGTAAAGATACATCCACATCCTGCAATTGAGTTAGGTTCAAAGTCAGCACGTACAGCAAATATGGCATGGGTTCAAACTATAGTTAAAAATCCCTTTCACAGCCCATAAAGTATGGTCCCTGGCTTTATAGATACTGCATTCTTCTCTCAACCAATCCAACACAGCCTGTTTTTCCTCCAGCATTGGAGCAAGAAGCTTTTCTTTGGCTGAGCACCTGATGAAGCAGCTGGTTTATATTTAGGGGCCATGTTCTATGAAAATCTGCTTAGAAAAATTTTTTTTCTTACCCCACTAAGTAGGTATCATTAGATTTCATAAGTTTAATATGTGTACGGATGGGATTCTACCCTCTAGTAGAATCATGGAACACATGCTACATTCTCTTTCTCAACAATGTGTTAGCACACTTTATTTTCAGGTTCATATGGTGTTTCCTTTGACCATTAATTCTGTATTCTGAGTGCCTCGCATGGGCTAGGCACTGTTAAGTTCTCCCTTTTCTTACCTGTTATAAGCTGAGTTAGCACTTTAGTCTGGTCATTGAGAATGTTCACTGTAACATTTCTGGCAGACTTGAAGTACAGGGCATTACCCTGCAATAAGAAAATAAGAGAAAGACATGAAAATGATAGATTTCTAAACAAAAAGAACTGTCATTACAACTCTCCAAGGGGCTGAAATGGCTTTAGCCAAGTTCCAATCAATGTGTCTTTACTCAAAAACTCCAAATGTTTAAAGATCCCTATGTACATGATAATTAACTAGCATCTATCTAAAACAGATTTCTTCCAAAGAAATGCACACACACACACACACACACACACACACACACACAATATAGATTCCCCCAGAACACACACACATTATTATGGTTGAATCAGAGAAAATTAAGACACAAAGCCCATTAGATCTTACTGAAAATATTAGTCTTGGTATACAGAATGATCAGAAATGAATGATAATCTCCTAATGTCATCCTTTCTTCAAAAGACCCATGCAGAGTCCTTATAGAAGAGCAGGAAGGTTCTGTAAAATACCCAAGATCTGCCCCTCGGGCATACCCACCAACTATAAGAATCCTTTGTAGAGATGTTTGCAATGCATGTATACAAAACCCAGGAGATCTGATGTCCCCAAGTATGCTTCTGCCTCCGTTTTCTTCCTTTTCTTGTCTCCAGATTCCTTTTCCTCTAGGCCGTCTGTGCCTGTATCTACTCTGCCCTTTATCTAAAGGGCTCCCCAACTTTTTCACACAGTGGTACACATTTCTGGGCATGACTCAGAATAGGGCTTGGCACACTTTTTATTGAAAGTCTTGAGACTGAATATTTCAGGCTTCATGGGATGTATGTCCCTGTTGTAACTACTCAACTCTGCTGTTTTGGTGTAAAACTTGCCTTAGGCCATATGTAAACAAAGAGGGTATGACTGTATTTCATTAAATATTATTCATGGAAAATGACATCTAAATTTCATAAAATTTTAATTTTATATTTAAAATTTAATATAATCTGAATATGACATGAGATATTCTTTTTGTGTTTTGTCTCCCCCTCCCACCACTTAAAAACATGAAAACCATTCTTAGATCACTGGTGATACAAGAAGAGGCAGAGGGTTGAATGTAGCTCAAAGGCCACTGCGTGCTAACACTTGGTTTAGAAGTTGTCATTTTCTTAGAGGAAACTAAAGCCATAAATTAAAGGATGAATCTCTGACACAGAACATGGAAAAAGGAATCTGGTAGCCATTCCTGGCTTTTGGAACCTTTGTCACTATCTGGTATATTACTGCCTGAAAATTCAATAATAGCTCAATGCTTTGAGCCCCAAATACATAAAAATCATTGTCCTACAAGTTGTGAGCAAGCAGAAGACAGGCAAAGTTCAGTCTTTACCTTCTAAGTCTTATATTCTAATGGAGACCAGGAGATGGTCACAAATATGCTAGCCAGAGAATAGCAAGAGTGATTTCGGAGCTATGAGATGTTTGGGGGACTTCCCTGAAGGGTGAGATTATTCTCAGTTTGGGGCTGTGGAGCAGGAAGCAAAGAAGAATTCCTGAAGGAATGAACACTTGGGCTAAGCCTTGAAAAGAATAGACACAATTTTATCAAGTTGAAATGAAAAAAGAAAGTCATAGAGGTAAGAAAATTGTGGGCTGTCTAATGTCTTTTTCCTTCTAAAACTGGTGGGGATGCAGACTGGATTGGCCAGCCCAGTCCAGTCACCTGCACATGGCAGAATGGCAGCCAACACCCATCCCCAGGTGGCTTTCAAAAGTGGAGGAAAGGGGAGGGAATATGATATCACTTCAATCAAGATTTATGCTCTCCTGGTATGAAAGGTGCAGATTTTCATATTTGTATTTGATAGCAACCATATCATCACAGCCTGTTTTGATGTGATGTGGCTGACAGAAGTTACTTACCTTAATAATCCTACAGTGTAGTATATTTTCCTTGCTCTCTGAAGAGCTAACAATCTGATCTGGGAATTCAGATAAATAGTGAAAACCACGAGACAGCACACAACAACTCCCACATTCAGGAAGGGCTTTGAACTCTTAGCGTGGCTGGAATCCTGAGGGGAGACTTGCCAGAGGAAAACTTGGCTTATTTTCACCTTTCCTCCTAACAAAAGGGCAGGCTGGTCACAGCAGCACTGTTTCTATCTAACACTAACTTAGGTAACAAGTGAGACTGACCTTGTAAAGTAAAGGTTCAGAGTGTGAGCTCTGGAGGCAAACAATTTAGGCTTTATAACAACTCCACTTCTATGGTAATTGTATGGCCTTGGGTAAATCATTTCTCTTTTAGTTTCTGTTTAGTTTCTGCATCTGTGAAATGAAGTTAAAGGCTACATAATGATGTTGAAAAAAAGACCCCCCAAAATAAAGAAAAATATGTGTAAAGTACCTGAAATGACTCTAGAACCACTTTAAAACTATAAACAAACAAACAAAAGCTACATGAGGAGAGCTCCTTAGAGAAATGGCTGGCACAAGAAATCCTCAACAGGAGGCTGCAGCATCTTTTAATGCCAGAAAGGAAGTGTTTAAAAAACAAAAAAACCAAAATCTTACAATCATAGGGATATGTCAAAGTGACACAGAAGACAACTGAAAGAGCTTTCAACAGCTAAAGCTGAAAGCATTTGAGGAACAAAACAAATAATGCAGTATTGTATTATAACCCAGAGCATAAAATAAATATCCATGAGTCTATACAAATATAAATGAACAGATAAATGAGGTTGAATAGTCAAATCTACCCAGACAGAGGAATTCCAAAAAATCTACATAGATTAAATCCTCACTCCTTAATGGTGATCTGTGCCTAGTATCTTCATTTCAAAGAGCACCGTATAGAAAGGGGAAATAAAAGAGTAATTTTACATTTGAGATATCTGACCAACACTACCTCAGCCAGCTAACCAAAAGCAACATCAAGACTGGTATATCATGTTGATAGCATGCACCCTTGATATGATAAAAAGACAATGGCACTTTGCCTCTGTGGTCTTCCTCCTCAACATCCATAATCCCCATCTAAACACGAGGAAATAGCAAATATCAATTGACAGCCATTTTACAAAATACCTTATCAGTACCCTTCAAAACTGTCGAGGTCATCAAAACCAAAGAAAATCTGAGACACTATCACAGCCAAGAGCGTAGGGAGATATGAGAGCTATACATAAGGTGGTTTCCGGGATACAATCCTTGGACAGAAAAAGGATATTACTTTAAAAAAAAAAAACACCAAAGTAATCAAAATAAAGGGTGGACTTTAGTTAATAATAATGTATCATTATTGGTTCATTAATTGTGACAAAATTTACCTACTAATATTAGATGTTAATAGGAAAGCCTGAGTTTGGGATGTATAGAAATACCCTTGTACTTGCTTCACAGTTTTATGGTACATATAAAACTATGATAAAATACAAAGTTTTTTTATTATATAATTGAAAGCTGTATTAGGCTGCAAAATTCTAAGATCTTGAGTTTCAGAAAGAGACCTTGGAAAGGCCCCCATCTTTGAGTTGGCAGGGAGTCTGATACACTGTGAACACATGATTTCACTTTTGATCACATTAGAAAATTCTCCCTTATACTGAGACAAAATATATTTCCATGAGATTTTGCCTTTGGAAATACTAAAGGAATAGTCCATGGGTCCTCTCACAGCAAATTCTTCACCCAGGGCTCTCTCTGCACAAGCACTCTTCTGGAAGGCTCTCAACACTGGGTAGTCAGAACATAGTGACTTCTCCACAGTCATCACAATGCATTGGTCGCAGTGCTCTATGTTTACTAAAATAACACTAACTTTGAATATCACCTGGAAAAAACTGGCTTCTACAAAGTGAGATTTGTCATTAAAATCATTTTCAAAGGATAGTTTGTAAGTTTTTCTTCAGCAGGCATCAAATATCTCTATTATTAACATTATTATTTTCAATAGGATGCTTTAAGTTGTCTCTGAATTGATCCTTTTAAAAGCATAGCAAGTTACTGAAAAACAATACTATAGTACAGTTATTTCTATTTTCTTGGAGTCTCTTTTTATAAATATGCTTGGGTAGATTTCTATTGTTTTGAAATTTTTTTCCAGTCATGAATAATGAAGCTACACTGTGAAGCTCTTTCTCAAAATAAGCTGGGAAACAGTCCATTTTTCCCATTGTAGCATTCCTATTCAGCTACTCTCTGCACTGTGCCCAAATTTGGGAGCATTTTGGTCTCTCTCAATACTTCACTAAGTTTAGCTGTTTTCTCTCAATGATTTCTTTGAGAGGTCATGTTCATCTGTCACCACTGCAAGGGGACTGCCAGCTTTTCTAGTGCCCCACATATTCCTGGCACCCATTAGGCTTTCAATAAATATTTGCTGAATAACTGAATGCTCAGATCAAATTAAGAGTCAACAGAGAGTGAGAGTTGTCAACAAAAGAAATAATTACATAAAAGTTGACAGTAACTGTCAGTTTTCAAAAGGCAAGCCATTAAGCATGAGTGATGTTATAATCTAAACATATAAAAAGCAGTGTGGTGGGAGGAGGCCATATAGATATATAGCCAGCAAATATTTGTTCACTTCCTAATGCAGTGCAAGGAATGGTAGAAGATACAAATTAGACTTGAGATGTTGAGTCTCTAGGTGACAGAAAGAAGCATAGGTGACAGAAAGAAGCAGGAGCACACATTATTACTCAAATTCTTGTGGACATAAAGGTCAAAACATGCCTGGAATCTGTGCTGGGCATGTAGCACTCATCTGGCATGTGGTAGTGAATGTGCCCTCTTTCAACTGCCCCTTATTAATCCACTGTATTAACATTTTCATCTGTCTTCTAAGCATAAAGCACTGTTCTAAAGGCTGAGCAGGTAGCCCCTGGTCTGCCGGAGTCTACAAACTACCAGGGGGCATAGACACTTAACTGAGTTCTGTAAGCGATCATATAATTGCAGTCTCAACGTTTGCAGTGAACACAAAGTAGAAGGTGAAATGAGATCACATGCAGTGAGACCTCCTCTAACTCGGGTGGTCAGGAAAGACCTTGTTAGGGGAGAGACATTTTAGCAAAAACATAGACAAGTGTATTTGGCCCTCTGCAAAAAAGAGCTTGGTATATACTTAAGGGACAGAGAGAAAGACTATGTGCTTGGAGTTTGATGCTTAAGGGAGATAGAAAAATTTAATATTGCCCATGCTGTTCTTTGATGAACAGAAATGTTTAATTTTGATGTAAGAAAACGTTTGTTTCTACTAATGGATTGCGTCTTGGGATTTCACAAAGAAATCCTTTCCTTTCCTAGTTCATTCTATATATTTTCTTCTATCAACATTTGAGTTTTACTTTTCATATTAAGTCTTTATTCTCTCTGGAGTCTACTTCAGTATGTAGTTATGTAGGAATTCAAATGGAAGGCAGTTTCCTCAACACTATCTACCAAACAATCATTATTTTTTCCCACTATTATGTGGTATCACTTTGGTACATATTAATTCCCAAATATATTTGAGTCTGACTCAGACTTGTAGGCTGTCTTATTGTCTATTTATCTATTCTTGTACCAATGTCATATTATCTTTGTTTCTGTGGCTTTGTGGTATGTCCAGATATCTGGTAAGTCTATCTACCCATTTTGCCTTCATACTCCATTTTAACGGTTTTGAATTTTCTTCAGAAATGAGAAGTCACTGAAGAGTTTTAAGCAGGAGAAGGTGTGAACTAAACATGATCACTCTGGTTACCTTGTGGCATCTGCTAGAAAGAGGAGTACATGATATGAGTGGCCAGGTGGGAGATTATTGTAGTCATTCAGCTAAGAAACAATAGCAACCTGAACTGGAGTGGAGGTAGGGCAAGACAAGTTACATTTTGAGAACTGGCAGGGGTTGGTAACTGATGGGGCTTGGGAATGAGAAAGGAGGCAGAGTGAGGGATAATCCTCGTGTTGCTTGGCAATTGGAGAGGCAACAGCCATTTACTGAGCTACAGGGCAGGAGGTAAGGGAGTGAATATTTGAAGGCAGAGTTTGGTAGGTGAGAGGTTTGGGGCTTGAAGGTTCAGCTTTGGAAATGTTAAGTGTGAAATGCCTAGGAGTCTGATGTATTAGGGTGCACAGTTGGCATTGCCTTCAATCCTACATCATGTCTTTTAAGTTCCTCTGTGCCTTCCACTGTATACTAAAATCTCCTTTATGAAAATGTTCATAATTACACTATCTCAGCTGTCAACTCTCACAAAATTCTGTGCATTTCCATGTTGACTCTTTCTGGCAGCTTAAAATTTGCTTTCTGCTCTCTAGACATCATCAGTGGGGATCCTATAAGAGGGTAGACATATTAAAACACAATTGTTAACTTAAAGGTAATATCTCAAGGCAAATCTCTCATAGTTTGAAGGTTACAAAGAATTCAAAGAAGCTTCTCAGGAAGTGAAAAATCAGTGGTTCTCCTACTGTGTGTGTTTGTGTGTGTGTGTGTGTGTGCGCGTGCACATGCGTGCATGCATGCACCTGTGTGCGTCTGTGTGTGTCCAAAGGATAGTGGGGAGACGGGCTTGAATTACATACTTAGATCTAGGGATAAGGAAATCAGAAGGAGACATAAAATTAAGTTTTAATTCTAATTTGCTAGTCAAGCTTCCTGAAATGTAGCAAACTGCATAGGAGAAAAAAAATACTGATATATTTTCTTTAGGGGTGAGGTCAGATAAGAGGGTTAACTGGGATGCCTTGGCTAAGAATGACTTCCTCAATATCCAACCCAAGAGCCCAAAGCAACGGAGTGTAACCTGGATTCAGCTCTGTGGGAGTGCAGATGTCACAGAGATTGCTTTTGGGTGTGTAAAGAGGCAGATGTTTTATCCTTACATGGCTGTGGACAGGAATGCTAGAGCTCAATTGGTTGCCCTTTTATGCACCCATCACAGTACTGGGAACTATAAAAGAGCAGTACAAAAGGTACTAGATCTTTGTTCTGCATTTAGAAAGACAAAATTAACACTCATGTAACAACCCCAAACCCGTATGAGATCAGAGATAGGCTGGAAAGGTGGCACTTGACAATGAACAATGCACTCTTCTATGTTTCCAAGGTTACAATTTCATCTTCACAACATACAAAACAACATTTCTTCCAACAGCCTGAGCCTTCTTGCTAGCATTTTCCAGTGCTCTATAAAAAACTTTCCCATAATATATAAATAGCCATTCTTAAAAAATAAATTAAAAAAAAATTGAGCCCCCAGGTCCATTCCAAGACGGCTGAATAGGAACAGCTCTGGTCTGCATCTCCCAGCATGATTGATGCAGAAGAGGGTGATTTCTGCATTTCCAACTGAGGTACCTGGTTAATCTCACTGGGACTGGTTGGACAGTGGGTGCAGCCTATGGAGGGTGAGCTGAAGCAGGGCAGGGCATCGCCTCACCAGGGAAGCACAGGAGGTTGGGGAATTTCTCTTTCCTAGCCAAGGGAAGCCATTTCAGATGGTACCTGGAAAAACAGGACCCTCCCATCCAAATACTGCACTTTTCCAATGGTCTTAGCAAATGGCACACCGGGAGGTTATATCCCATGCCTAGTTCAGCAGGTCCCACACCCACAGAGCCTTGCTCACTGCTAGCGCAGCAGTCTGAGATCAACCTGCGAGGCAGCAGCCTGGCAGGGGGTGGGGCATCCACCATTGCTGAGGCTTGAGTAGGTAAACAAAGCGCCCAGGGAAGCTTGAACCTGACAGAGCTCAATGCAGCTCAGCCAGGCCTGCTGCCTCTGTAGACTCCAACTCAGGGGGCAGGGTATAGCTGAAAAAAAGGCAGCAGAAACTTTTGCAGACTTAAACGTCCCTGTCTGACAGCTCTGAAGAGAGCAGCGGTTCTCCCAGCACAGCGTTTGGGCTTGGAGAATGGACAGACTGCCTCCTCTAGTGGGCCCCTGAACCCCATGTAGCCTAACTGGGAGACACCTCCCAGTAGGGGCCAACTAACACCTCATACAGGCAGGTGCCCCTCTGGGATGAAGCTTCCAGAAGAAGGATCAGGCAGCAATATTTGCTGTTCTGCAATATTTGCTGTTCTGCAGCCTCCGCTGGCGATACTCAGGCAAACAGGGTCTGGAGTGGACCTCCAGCAAACTCCAAAAGACCTGCAGCTGAGGGACGTGACAGAAGGAAAACTAACAAACAGAAAGGAATAGCATCAACATCAACAAAAAGGACATCCACACCAAAACCCCATCTGAAGGTCACCAACATCAAAGACCAAAGATAGACAAAACCACAAAGATGAGGAGAAACCGGAGGAGAAAAGCTGAAAATTCTAAAAATCAGAGCACCTCTTCTCCTCCAAAGGATAGCAGCTCCTCACCAGCAACGGAAAAAAGTGGGATGGAGAATGACTTTAAAGAGCTGACAGAAGTAGGCTTCAGAAGGTTGGTAATAACAAACATCTCCGAGCTATAGGAGGATGTTCGAACCCATCACAAGGAAGCTAAAAACCTTGAAAAAAGATTAGATGAATGGCTAACTAGAATAAATAGTGTAGAGAAGAGCTTAAATGACCTGATGGAGCTGAAAACCATGGCACTAGAACTATGTGATGCATGCACAAGCTTCAATAGCTGATTCAATCAAGTAGAAGAAAAGGTTATCAGTGATTGAAGATCAAATTAATGAAATAAGCAAGAAGAGAAGTTTAGAGAAAAAAGAGTAAAGAGAAACGAACAAAGCCTCCAAGAAATATCAGACCATGTGAAAAGACCAAATCTACGTTTCATTGGTGTACCTGAAAGTGACTGGGAGAATGGAACCAAGTTGGAAAACACTCTTCGGAGTGTTCCCCAACCTAGCAAAGCAGGCCAACATTAGAATTCAGTAAATACAGAGAACACCACAAAGATACTCCTCAAGAAGAACAACCCCAAGACACATAATTGTCAGACTCACCAAGGTTGAAATGAAGGAAAAATGTTAAAGGCAGCCAAAGAGAACGGTTGGGTTACCCACAAAGGGAAGCCCAACAGACTAACAGAGGATCTCTCAGCAGAAGATCTGCAAGCCAGTAGAGAGTGGGGGACAATATTCAGCATTCTTAAAGAAAAGAGTTTTCAACCCAGAATTTCATATTCAGCCGAAATAAGCTTCATAAGTGAAGGAGAAATAAAATCCTTTACAGACAAGCAAATACTGAGAGATTTTGTCACCACCAGGCCTGCCTTACAAGAGCTCCTGAAGGAAGCACTAAACATGGAAAGGAACAACCTGTACCAGCCACTGCAAAAACATGCCAAATTGTAAAGACCATCAATGCTAGGAAGAAACTGCATCAACTAAAGGGCAAAATATCCAGCTAAAATCATAATCACAGGATCAAATTCACACATAACAATATTAACCTTAAATGTAAATGGGCTAAATTCCCCAGTTAAAAGACACAGACTGGCAAATTGGATAAAGAGTCAAGACCCATCAGTGTGCTGTATTCAGGAGACCCACCTCACGTGCACAGACACACATAGGCTCAAAATAAGGGGATGGAGGAAGATCTACCAAGCAAATGGAAAACAAAAAAATAGCAGGAGTTGCAATCCTAGTCTCTGATAAAACAGACTTTAAACCAACAAAGAATAAAAGAGACAAAGAAGGTCATTACATAATGGTAAAGGGATCAAGTCAATAAGAGGAGCTAACTATCCTAAATATATATGCACCCAATACAGGAGCACCCAGATTCATAAAGCAAGTCCTTAGAGACCTACAAAGAGAATTAGACTCCCACACAATAATAATGGGATACTTTAACACCCCACTGTCAATATTAGACAGATCAACGAGACAGAAGGTTAACAATGATATCCAGGACTTGAACTCAGCTCTGCACCAAGTGGACCTGAAAGAGACCTGCAGAACTCTCCACCCCAAATCAACAGAATATACATTCTTCTCAGGACCACATCACACTTCTTCCAAAATTGACCACATAATTGGAAATAAAGCATTCCTCAGCAAATGTAAAAGAGCAGAAATCACAACAAACTATCTCTCAGATCACAGTGCAATCAAATTAGAACTCAGGATTAAGAAACACACTCAAAACCACTCAACTACATGGAAACTGAACAACCTGCTCCTGAATGACTACTGGGTACATCACGAAATGAAGGCAGAAATAAGGATGTTCTTTGAAACCAATGAGAACAAAGACACAACATACCAGAATCTCTGGGACACATTTAAAGCAATGTGTAGAGGGAAATTTATAGCACTAAATGCCCACAAGAAAAAGCAGGAAAGATCTAAAATCGACACCCTAACACCACAATGAAAAGAACTAGAGAAGAGCAAACACATTCAAAAGTTAGCAGAAGGCAAGAAATAACTAAGATCAGAGCAGAACTGAAGGACATAGAGACACAAAAAACCCTTCAAAAGAATCAATGAATCCAGGAGCTGGTTTTTTGAAAAGATCAACAAAATTGATAGACCACTAGCAAGACTAATACAGAAGAAAAGAGAGAAGACTCAAATAGATGCAATAAAACATGATAATGGGGATATCACCACCAATCCCACAGAAATACAAACTACCATCAGAGAATACTATAAACACTTCTACACAAATAAACCAGAAAATCTAGAAGAAGTGGATAAATTCCTAGACACATACAACCTCCCAAGACTAAGCCAGGAAGAAGTTGAATCTCTGAATAGACCAATAACAGGCTCTGAAATTGAGGTAATAATTAATAGCCTACCAACCAAAAGAAGTCCAGGACCAGATGGATTCACAGCTGAATTCTTCCAGAGGTACAAAGAGGAGCTGGTACCATTCCTTCTGAAACTATTCCAATCAATAGAAAAAGAGGGAATCCTCCCTAACTCATTTGATGAGGCCAGCATCATCCTGATATCAAAGCCTGGCAGAGACACTACAAAAAAAAGAGAATTTTAGACCAATATCCCTGATGAACATCGATGCAAAAATCCTCAATAAAATACTGGCAAATCGAATCCAGCAGCACATCGAAAAGCTTATCCACCATGATCAAGTGGCTTCATTCCTGGGATGCAAGGCTGGTTCAACATATGCAAATCAATAAATGTAACCCATCACATAAACAGAACCAACAACAAAAACCACATGATTATCTCAATAGATGCAGGAAAAGCCTTTGACAAAATTCAACAGCCCTTCATGCTAAAAACTCTCAATAAACTAGGTATTGATGGGACATATCTCAAAATAATAAGAGCTATTTATGACAAACCTACAGCCAATATCATACTAAATGGGCAAAAACTGGAAGCATCCTTTGAAAACTGGCACAAAACAGGGATGCCCTCTCTCACCACTCCTATTCAACATAGTGTTGCAAGTTCTGGCCAGGGCAATCAGGAAGAGAAAGAAATAAAGGGTATTCAATTAGGAAAAGAGGAAGTCAACTTGTCCCTGTTTGCAGATGACATGATTGTATATTTAGAAAACCCCATTGCCTCAGCCCAAAATCTCCTTAAGCTGATAAGCAACTTCAGCAAAGTCTCAGGATACAAAATTAATGAGCAAAAATCACAAGCATTCCTATACACCAATAATAGACAAACACAGAGCCAAATCATGAGTGAACTCCCATTCACAATTGCTACAAAGGGAATAAAATACCTAGAAATCCAATTTACAAGGGATGTGAAGGACCTCTTCAAGGAGAACTACAAACCACTGCTCAACGAAGTAAAAGAGGATGCAAACAAATGGAAGAACATTCCACGCTCATGGATAGGAAGGATAAATATTGTGAAAATGGCCATACTGCCCAAGGTAGTTTATAGATTCAATGCCATTCCCATCAAGATACCAATGACTTTCTTCACAGAATTGGAAAAAACTACTTTAAAGTTCATATGGAAATAAAATAGCCCTCATTGCCAAGACAATCCTAAGCAAAAAGAACAAAGCTGGAGGAATCACTTTACCTGACTTCAAACCATTCCACAAGGCTACAGCAACCAAAATAGCATGGTAATGGTACCAAAACAGAGATATAGACCAATGGAACAGAACAGAGCCCTCAGAAATCACACCACACATCTACAACCATCTGATCTTTGACAAACCTGACAAAAACAAGAAATGGGGAAAGGATTCCCTATTTAATAAATGGTGCTGGGAAAACTGGCTAGCCGTATGTAGAAAGCTGAAACTGGATCCCTTCCTTACACTTTATAGAAAAATTAATTCAAGATGGATTAAAGACTTAAATGTTAGACCTAAAACCATAAAAACCCTAGAAGAAAACCTAGGCAATACGATTCAGGAAATAGGCATGGGCAAGGACTTCATGTCTAAAACACCAAAAGCAATGGCAACAAAAGCCAAAATAGACAAATGGGAAAAAAATTAAACTAAAGAGCTTCTGCACAGCGAAAGAAAGTACCATCAGAGTGAACAGGTAACCTACAGAATGGGAGAAAATTGTTGCAATCTACCCATCTAACAAAAGGCTAATATCCAGAATGTACAAAGAACTTACATTTACAAGAAAAAAAAACCCCATCAAAAAGTGGGCAAAGGATATGAACAGACACTTTTCAAAAGAAGACATTTATGCAGCCAACAGACACATGAAAAAATGCTTATCATCACTGGTCATAAGAGAAATGCAAATAAAAAACACAATGAGATACCATCTCACACCAGTTAGAATGGCGATCATTATAAAATTGGGAAACAACAAGTGCTGGAGAGGATGTGGAGAAATAGGAACGCTTTTACACTGTTGGTGGGAGTGTAAACTAGTTCAACCATTGTGGAAGACAGTGTGGCAATTCCTCAAGGATCTAGAACTAGAAATACCGTTTGACTCAGTGATCTTATTACTGGGTATATACCGAAAGGATTATAAATCATGCTACTATAAAGACACACGCACATGTATGTTTATTGCGGCACTATTCACAATAGCAAAGACTTGGAACCAACCCAAATGTCCATCAATGATAGACTGGATGAAGAAAATGTGGCACATATACACCATGGAATACTATGTAGCCATGAAAAAGAATGAGTTCACGTCCTTTGCAGGGACATGGATGCAGCTGGAAACCATCATTCTGAGCAAACTATCAGAAGGACAGAAAACCAAACACCGCATGTTCTCACTCATAGGTGGGAAATGAACAAGGAGAACACTTGGACACAGGGAGGGGAACATCACACCCCGGGGTCTATTGTGGGGTGGGGGGCAGGGGGAGGAATAGCATTAAGAGAAATACCTAATGTAAATGACAGGTTAATGGGTGCAGCACACCAACATGGCACAGGTATACCTATGTAACAAACCTGCATGTTGTGCACGTGTACCCTAGAACTTAAAGTATTAAAAAAATTTGAGCTCCCAAATTTTTATGAGTAAAATAGTTTAGGCAATTCAATATACTCTCCCCTACCTTCTAGTTGCACAGTCCATGTTAGTATTTTATTTGCTCTGAGAAGTCCTATGTCAACATAACTTGTGTACCTTTGTGTACCCAATCGCTCCAAAATTTATTTAATCATATTTTTTTTTGCTTAAAGTACATGTTAATGGGACCCATTTTAGGGAATGCTACTTTAATGATTGCTTTATATATACAAGTTATGACTTAGCTATCTATGGTTTATCTCTTTAAAACCAGGAAAGGGCTTCGTAGCTATCCTCACATCTGGTGGACTCTCAATAGAACTTGTTGGATGGCTTAATGTCTACAGTCCTGGTGAGTAAGTATAATTGCCATTTTATACATGGGGAGACTGAGGCTGAGTGTGGAGCACAACTTACCCAGACTTGCATACTGGTAAATTGCAAAGATAGGACTAGCACTCTAGAGTTGAGCACTTTCCGCTTGTTCTACTACAGTGGAATGTGTAGTCTAAGCTGTAAGTTTAAGACCTGTGATGAAGAAAAGACTTCAGCACTGGTTGGACAGTTAGGGAATTCTTCATAGATAGGGAGAGAGACTTGACCATGGTTTCTGAGAAAGCCAGTAAGCAGAGAGAACCCTGCAGTTCAAGGAGGCAGCTGTCTCTTCCCCATGAAGTCAATCACATTCCAATATTAAAGCATTAAAACTTGACTGATACCAAGATTAAGATACGCTTTTCACATGGAAGGTTAATTTCATGGCACAGATAGCAATACAGACAAGACTGTTCCACCCCACTCTTTGCTGCAGAAACTCCGTGGGCTAAACTTCTCTGGCTTTTGGCCACATTTGCAAACAGGGCTCTTCCATGCAAGGTGTTCTTGGCCTTGCAGTGGCCAAGAGCTCCCGCAGATCTGAGAGCACAAGTCTGGGCTTTGTGGCTGGCCCCCACACATTCTTTGGTTCTCTTTGCATATTTTTCCTCCCTCCATCAGTGAGGCCCTGTTGCTTTGGATTTTGACCTTTCACAGAATGGTGCATGGCATTCTGGGGAGTCAAAACCCCTCTTTCAGGAAAAGTTTGGATAAAGTCAATGTGAGTCTTTCAGGGAGAAGTGCAAGTTGAGATTCGAATTACTAACACGGAGAGAAAAACAACTACATAGAGACTGGCTTATGTCATGGGAGAGATACAATCTGATTTGTTGTAGAGGAAATATGCCTAGTCTAATGCTGACTGATTTGAAGGAGGTATGACCTCTTAAAAAATCAGAATAACACAGGGAAAAAAAACCCAAAGCCCAGACTACTAACCCTGGGGTTACTCGAGCCTTTCTTTGTGGTGTGCTGTTGTGGTTAATTAGGGCTTTGGAGGCACAGAGCCCTGAATTAACATCCTAGCTGTGCTATTTCTGAACCAGTAACCCTAGATTACACAGCCTTAGTTTCTTTAGCTAGAAAATGGGGATAATAATGTACAAAATGGAGATAGTAACAGTACCTCCCTTACAGAACTAAATTGATTAAATAGCATGTATAAGGAATTTAGCATCATGTTTGTACCTCTGGACTTATATTTTTAAATAGGGGGTTAATTTGGCACTGATGGTTGCTAAGCTCTGTCAGCTCCATCAAACTGACAGTGATGTTAGGATATGGTCAGTTTCTGCTTTCTATGTAGTGATTAAGAGCATGGCTTTAGGCAGACAGGCTGGAACTAGAACCTGACCATCCACCAGCTAAGCAGGTGTTTAACTTAATTGCTGTATCTCCATTTCCCCACCTATAAAGTATGGGGGAGAGAATAGCATTGCCTCATAGGTGTCTGTGAGAAGACGATATATGCAAAACAGGCAGCATAGTGCCGAGTAAAGGGTGAGGACTCAATATGTGCTAACAGTATTTAGTATTAAAGAACAGGATGGGGATGGGTGCAGTGGCTCATGTCTGTAATCCCAATGCTCTGGGAGGCCAAGGAGGGAGGATCACTTGAGGCTAGGAGTTTGAGACCAGCCCGGGCAACATAGTGAGATCCTGTCTCTACAAAAAAGAAAAAATTAGCTGGGCATGGTGACATGTGCTTATAGTCCTAACTACTGGGGAGGCAGAGTTGAGAGGATCACTTGAGTCCAGGAGTTTGAGGTTACAGTGAGCTATGGTCAGGCCACTGTACTCCAGACTGGGTGATAGAGTGAGACCCCCCATCTCTAAAAAAATTAATAAAAAATAACAAGAAGAGATCCCTTCATAGAATGTGTATCTAGCTGACTCTCTGGTATGATTCAGGATGCATAAGAAGGCACCTTGACCAAAAAGGTGTCTGACGGTTCCATAGTCAATGCTGTTCTTTACCTGTGAGCCTTCCAGTCTGAGAGGAGGGATGAATTTCACCAGCTGCCATAGAGAACTAGGCTTGGGGAGAATGGAGAAAGGCTAAGTAACTGCTGATTAAAGTTAGGACATGAAACACTAAGTCCATGTGGGGTCCTAAATCAGGTTCACCTGGGTGGGGCAGTCATGAAGGGCAGGCAAAAATGAGGGTATTCAAACAAAATATTTCATGACCGGAGGCAAAGTAGTTGCAACTTTGTGTCCACGTGATTCTCAGATTTACAGAAAAGTTAAGCAGTAATCTTCAGGTCATGCAGAACCTGACCTGGATCCCAGGCTCATTATCCAAATCCAAGGCTGAGACCTTCATACTCTAAGACTGCTGAGTCTGTAAAGCTCTTAAGAAGTACAGTATGTGCTTCCAATTTTTTTATTGGGAAAAGAAATGACCATGTATTGTTTTTATGATCATAAAAAGTCATGAATAAACAATATGTTCATAATCATAAATATCATTAATATAAAATACAAAAATATTCATAAAAACATGACCATTATTGAAGAAGCATTGAAAAATACAGGTAATATGTACATTTCTTAATTATTTTTGTGTACCCTAAATTTCTTTCTTGGCTGGTCAAAATTTCTAATTTTGTGGACAGGTCAAAAGAGAGACAAGAGGAGTGATTTTGTAGTCGTCACTAATCCTTTGAGGAAGGTCAATTCTCACAGGAAAAGCACATATATTCTCCACTCTCCTCACTTAACTAGCTAATGTCTACATTATATTAGTTTGGTTGGAAAGGGGTGATGTCAAAAGAGGAAATTTTTTGAAGCAACCTTTGATTGCTTCAATTAGTATGTGTCTATCTGTCCCACAAAGAGAATATCTCCTTTCACACTCTTTGAAAAGTAATGGCTATATGATCAGATACTTTGGCTTATGGGTGCTTCATTCAATTGTCTACTTAAGAAATATGGCCAGAATTGATAAAAGACTTCAGGTTGGAGAGATCAGGTCATGTTTTGATTGACTCTTTTGCTCCAAGCCCACAGCAATGTTAGGCTAACAACAACAACAACAAATGGAAACCCGGTAAGTTAAAATGAGGCTAAAAATTGGGTAATTCTTCACACCCACTAGAATAATTATAATAGAAAAAAAACAGAAAATAACATATATTGGCAAGAATGTAGAGAAACTGGAACCCTCATACACTGCTGGTGGGAATGTAAAAGGGTGCGACTGCTATGAAAAACAGCTTGTCAGTTCCTCAATAAGTTAAGCGTGGAATTCCCATATTACTCAGCAACTCTACTCCTAAGTATATACCAGAAAGAATTGGAAACAGATATTCAAACAAAAACTTGTACACAAATGCTCATAGTAGCACTATTCATAATAATCAAAGGGCGGAAACAATACAAATGCCCAATAATAGATTAATGAATAAGCAAAATGTGATATATCCATACTGTGGAATATTATTCCCCTGCAAAAATGAGGTATGATACATGCTACAGCATGGATGAACCTTGCAAACATTACACTAAGTCAAAGGAACTATACACAAAAGCCACATACTATATGATACTATTTATCTGAAATATCCAGAGTAGGCAATTCCACAAGAAAGTAGATTAGCAGTTGCCAGGAGCTGGAGAAAGAGATAAAAGTGATTGCTGAATGGATATGGCGTTTCTGTTTGGGGTAATAAAAAGCATCATGGAACTAGATGATGGTGATGGTTGTGCAACATTATAAATGTACTCGATGCCACTGAATTATACACTTCAGTTAACATGGTAAATTTTATATCATGTGTATTTTACCACAGTAAAACAGTTTTGGGGGATTATCATCTTTGTGGACCAGAAGCAGAAATACTAACTACCATGAAGGCTGTAGCCAAAGGCTTGCTGGCATAAGGATCTAGAAGCAGGCCACGGAGACTGTGATTGTGTGCTTAGCTCAAGTGAATTAGAGGGGACCTTAAGAGTTCTCAAAGAGATGAGACAGCAGTGAAGCTCACTGCTGCAAGGTTTATACATTCAGGGGGAGAGAGAGGAAAGGGTGCTATAGAGGTTACTGGACAGTTAAAGCAGACTGATCCCTATATCATATCTAAGAGAGAGAATATAAATACTTAATAAGCCAGTAGAACATAAAGAGAGGGAATAAAAAAGAAACTGCCAGAAAGAAAGACCAAAAAAAATATGTTTAAAAAGGAGAAAAGAAGGGCCAGGCACAGTGGCTCACATCCTGTCATCCCAGCACTTTGGGAGGCCCAGGCAGGCGGATCACTTGAGGTCAGGAGTTAAAGACCAGCCTGGCCAACATCATGAAACCCCATCTCTACTAAAAATACAATAATTAGCTGGGTGCGATAGCACACACCTGTAATCCCAGCTACTCAGGAGGCTGTGGCAGGAGAATCACTTGAACCCTGGAGGCAGAGTGGCAGTGAGCTGAGATTGAGCCACTGCACTCCAGGCTGGGCGACAGAGCAAGGCTCTGTCTCAACAAAAACAAAATGAAACAAAAAACAAAAAAGATGAAAAGAAAGAGAATGGTAGAGAAGAAATACAAACCAAGATAGTAGGAATAGAAAATATCCATAACATGTACAAAATTGCAAGTAAATACTACTTATAAAAGAGATATTTAAAGCAAAACAATATAGAAAGGCTAGAAATAAAGATATGGCAAAAGACACCCTAGGCAAAGTCTTACTAAGAGAAAGCTGGGGAACACCACCCACTGGGGCCTATCAGAGGGTGGAGGGTGGGAGGAAGGAAAGGATCAGGAAAGATAACTCATGGATACTATTAATAGGTTTAATACCTGGGTGATGAAATAACCTGTACAATAAACCCTCATGACATACATTTACCTATGTAACAAATCTGCACATGCTGTGCATGTACCCCTGAACTTAAAAGTTAAAAAGAAAGCTGGGTATCAAAATTAGTATTAGACAAAACAGTATTTAAGGCAAAAAGCATTCATGTACTCCACAGAGACTGCATATAAAAACAACAAAATATGACTGGAAGCTATAAATCATGACTAGGTATGTATCTATCAATGTAGCTTAAAACACATTAATTAAAAGTTGTCAGAAGTATGAAGGAAATTTAGCAAATGCTAGCATTAAATTTTAACAAAAATCTATTAGAAAATGATAGATTCTGCTGACCAAATAATAGCAAGAATGTGGACACCCTGAATGCTCATATTTAACTAGTTTGAACTAATGGATGTGTAGAGCTCTGCACCCAAGAAATTGAGAATCTACGTTATTTTCAATTATACTAAACCATTTGCAAAAATAATGTCCTAGTTCACAAAGAAATGCCAAACAACAGTGCCACACAGAATACATTTTCTGACTTTAGTGCCATTAAATTATAAATCAAATTAAAAAGATAATTAAAAATGAACATATCTTGGAAATGTAAACATAGCTGTTTTAGTCCATATTGATTTTCCTGCTTCTACTCTTGCCCTCCTAAATTCTATTATCCTCAGAGCAGTCAGGTAATCCTTTTCAAATTCAACACAGATTATGTCACTCTCATGGGGGAAAAAAATCCTTCAATGGCTTTTTGTCACAGCTAGGCTTAAATTCAAACTCCTAACTACAAGATCCTACATGATCCGGTCTGCTACTACCTCCTCAATATTTTTCTTTCTTACTGGGTTTCTCCATATTATTACTACTCCAGCAGGATTGGCCTCTTTCTGTTCTTCAAACAATCCACATACCTTCCTGCCTACAGGAATTTGTACTTCTTTTTCTCTGTGCCTGGAAGTGCCTCCCTCTGTCCTCCATATCCACCTGGTTGCCTTGACCTCCTTGCCTAACACAGTAGCCTCTTTACTCTCCATCCTCTTACTCTTGCTCTCTCTTTCCACATTTCACTTAGCATGGCTTAGAATTTTATTATAAGTCTGATTGTCTATTTTTTTTTTTTTTGAGACAGGGTCTCAAAAAATCAATATGCACTCTGTCGCCCAGGCTGGAGTGCAGTGGGGCGATCTTGGCTCACTGCAACCTCTGCCTCCGAAGTTCAAGCGATTCTCCTGCCTCAGTCTCCTGAGTAGTTGGGAATACAGGTGCATGCCACCATGCCTGGCTAATTTTTGTATTTTTAGTAGAGACAGGGTTTCACCATGTTGGCCAGGCTGGTCTTGAACTCCTCACCTCAGGTGATCCGCCTGCCTCGGCCTCCCAAAGTGCTGGGATTACAGGCGTGTGCTACCATGCCCGGCTGATTGTCTATTTTTTTTTGTCTGTCTCCTCCTAGTATAATAAAAGATCAATGAGGCAGGGACTTTCTTTTGTTTACCCATGCATCCCCAGTGCATACAAGTGTCTCGTACATGGTGGGTACAAAAATATTTTTCACATGAATAAATATCAAAGCCAATATGAGTTCGCTGAGTTCGCTGACTGCCAGAAAGCTTTTAGACTGTGGTACCTAGAAGAGGGGAGGATGGTCCTGCTTTACCCACTACAGTAAGAGCACATCTGGAATACAATGTTCAGATCCAGACCCTACACTTTAAAGAAAGATATTGAAAAAGGTGAAAACCAAGATGGTGACTACTGTATGGCCATGAATTCTGTAATATTGGTGTACATACATAATAATGATTTCATGGTATTCTATTACAGTACGTGATATGATCAGTGATATTACATAATATGTTCACTCTGTTGTTCCTCATTAGCAATGCGTAGTTCAATGAACTGTGAGAAACTGAAACAAATGTGGTTCATTAATGCATTTCCCTTATCCTTGAACTTATATCTATGATGCACTGTCCCAGGTGATTCTTGCCTCTGACATTCACTAAGCAAATCTGCACTTTTAGCATGTCAGAAGAGTTTGGATCTGGCACACATGTTAGCCCACTGTACAAGTGCACATGGCCCAATTCAGGCTTTAGAAATTATCAATCAACAGTGTGTGGACAGTATGCCATTCTGTTGTAGCCACTCTGAGTGACTTGCTAGCCAGTCACTAGGACATCAATTAGCCACCTAATATGATCCAATAAGTCAACTAGGCACCTACATTTCCAGACTTTATGGCCGTCGGTTACATTCTGCAGCCAGTGCTTTCAATGGGGGGAAGAGTAGGGATTAGGACCATTTAGTGGTTACAGCTACCTGAGTCTTTATTTATTTATTTATTTGAGATGGAGTCTTGCTTTGTTGCCCAGGCTGGAGTGCAGTGGCACGATATTGGCTCACTACCTCTGCCTCCCGGGTTCAAGCGATTCTCCTGCCTCAGCCTCCTGAGTAGCTGAGACTACAGGTGCACATCACCATGCCCGGCTAATTTCTGTATTTTTAGTAGAGAAGAGGTTTCACCATGTTGGCCAGGCTGTGATCCTGACCTTAAGTGATCTGCCTGCCTCAGCCTCCTAAAGTGCTGGGATTATAGGAGTGAGCCACCACACCCAGCCCCTGAGTTTGAGTCTTATCCCTACCTCTTAGAAGCTCCATATAAACCTGGACAAGTTACTTAATTCTTCTATCATTCAGGTTCTGGATCCATTCAAAATAAATAAAAGTAGAACCTAACTTACAGGGTAATATGAGGATGACATAATATCAGAAAAGCAATGAGAACTGTGCCTAGCAGAAAGCACACTCTCAATATCATGTTAGCCACTGTTGTTGACATGGCCAATAATAAAGATCATATCACTGTCATCATCCCGCATCCATCACGGACTGACCACAATCTTTGGGTTGCTTTGTTCAACTTTTTTGGAGATTATTATATTTTTAATATGCAGGAGTCTACTACATTCTAAGAAGCTGCAAAGTATGCATTAGACAAATCACTTAACTATTCTGAGCTCACGTTGTCAATTATGAGCATATTTTTGGGTGAGATTTACATCTAAAGTAGTGGACTCTGGGTAAAGCAGATTGCTCTCCATAATATGGGTAGGCCTCATAGATTCAGTTGAAGGCCTAAACAGGACGAAGGCTGACCTTCCCTGGGCAAAAGGAAACTCCTCAGCAGATGGCCTTTAGACATGAACTGGACAATGGCTCTTCCTAAGGCCTCCAGCCTGCTGGCTCACCCTGCATATCTTGAACTTGCCAGCCTCCATAATCACATGAGCTACCATCTATCTATCTATCTATCTATCTATCTATCTATCTATCTATCTATCTATCTATTTATCTATCCATCCCTCCCTCCCTCCCTGCCTCACTCCCTCCCTCTCTCCTTCCCCCATTAATTCATCCATCCATCCATCCATCCATTCACCCCCTCCACACTCTATTGGTTCTCTTTCTCTGGAGAATACTAACTGAGAAAGGTAGTAAATATATTGAAAAGCAGAAAGTAGGTGAGTACTACTAAAGAATTATTTCATATGAGGAAAAATGGGAAGAACTGAGGGAGTTTAACCAAGAGAAAATATTTCAAAGTATCCAAAAAACTGTCATGGATCTTGTTCAAGAGATCAAACTTGCTCTGAATGGCTCTGAAGTATAGGATCATTTGTGGATACTTAATGGATATAGACAGATGTCAACTTAATGAGAAGAGGACTTTCTAACAGCTAAGCTGTTCAAAGGATGCAATGAGAAGAAGAAGCTATGTTCCCCAAAGATTAGAACTCACTAGTATGTAAGATGGTTTCAGGTATCATAATGCTTGGCATTATGTACGAGAAGGTCATTTTCCTTTCAATTTCCTTTTTAATATTTTTGATTATATTAAAGATAATGTCTCATTTTAGGTCTATGATGACATTAATATCTCTGTAACACCTTCACATTTACATTTTTATCAAAGGGAGAAACAGTCTTAATTTTAATATATCATTATTTATTTTTATATCTGTCATGTATTCATGGAAAGTCATGTTGATTTTTTCACTTAGAATAGTGTTATATTTCTCTTTTAGATTATCAAAGAAAAACAGGGGTTTATTAACAGGAACATATTAAATAAATATTATTAAGGAAGGGACACAGTTATACCTTAAATCATGCCAGGGGTACAAAGATGACTAACTTTTGGGAAAGCAGGTGACAGGGCATTCAAGTAAAGGATGGAAGACCACAGACTGCTAAGTAGATTCAGCTCAAGTTAGCATGGGGTTAAGTTTTAATGTTTCTTCTAACCCAGGGATTTGATGACATGCTGGGGCCTTTAAAACTGGTGTGATCTTATTGCAATATTAAAATAGCATGCCATCTAAAACAGGTAAAATAAGCCACATGAGTAACTTTCAGAAGTTAAATAAATGCCGGCAATATCTTTATTTTGGTAGACATGTTTTTTTAAAAAATTGAATTTATTTACACTCTCACCAACAGTGTAAAAATGTTCCTATTTCTCCACATCCTCTCCAGCACCTGCTTTAATGATCGCCATTTTAACTGGTATGAGATGTTATCTCATTGTGGTTTTGATTTGCATTTCTCTAATGACCAGTGATGCTGAGCTTTTTTTCATGTTTCTTGGCCACATAAATGTCTTCTTTTGTGAAGTGTCTGTTCATATCCTTTGGCCACTTTTTGACACATGCACACGTATGTTTATTGCAGCAGTATTCACAATAGCAAAGACTTGGAACTAACTCAAATGCCCATCAGTGGTAGACTGGATAAAGAAAATGTGGCACATAATACACTATGGAATACAAGGCAGCCATAAAAAAGGATGAGGTCATGTCATTTGCAGGGACATTGATGAAGCTGGAAACCATCATTCTCAGCAAGCTAACACAGAAACAGAAAACCAAACACTGCATGTTCTCACTCATAAGTGGGAGTTGAACTATGAGAACACATGGACACAGGAAGGGGAACATCACACACGGGGTCCTGTCGGTGGGTGGGGGGCTAGGGGAGGGATAGCATTAGGAGAAATACCTAATGTAGATGACGGGCTGATGGGTGCAGCAAACCACCATGGCACGTATATACCTTTGTAACAAACCTGCACGTTCTGTACATGTATCCCAGAACTTAAAGTATAATAAAAAAACTGAATTTATGCAAATTTTATTTTAAAATAAAATATGAATAAATCCCCCCAAAAGATTAATTGTAGTGAACAATTACTTTGATTTATGTAATTTGGTCAATAGGCATGTGTAGGACCATAATGATGGACAGGTCTATGATATGAGTTGAAAGAGAATAATCTAGGGCTGGCAGGTTTTTAAAAAAATATTACTGAAATTGAAATGACTTTCACTTATAATTAATTTTACACATTCTTTGAAGAACTGTCAAATCACATTTCCCTAAGGCTAATATTTCAAGAAATCTATTACTTACTGTGGAAACTAACATTTCATAAAACCTAAATACAACCCAAATAAGCAAATTGTGCAAACAAAATGATTAAGACAAATGAAACATTATACATGAGATGATAATGTACAGGGAGAAATGCTCCACATTTATGATTTTATGAAATAAAAGTCAATAGAAATTTATGTCCTGGGAACTGTGAGACTGTCCTGTTAATTTAAATAAGTCAGTTGCTAAGTCTCTGATCTTTCAGATCTATCCTTGTTTACAGGCTAGGAGCAAATAAGAGACTTTCTGACTTTGAATCTCTAAGATGATGTGACTTCTAAAATTCAAGCTGTTAAGTCAATGTGCTACAAGATTGTTAAAATCTGTTTTATCAACAGATGAATGGATAAACAACATGTGGTGTATATGTACAAAGGAATATTATTCAGTCTTAAAAAAATAAGGAAATTATGACACATGCTACATCATGGAAGAACCTTTGAGGACATTATGTTAACTGAAATAGGCCAGCCAAAAAAATGATGAAAACTACATGATTCCATTTACATAAGGCACCTAAAATGGTCACATTCATAGAAATAGAAAGCAGAATGGGGGTTGCTAGGGGCTGGGGGAAATAGGGAATGGGGAGTTATTTTTTAATGGGCACAGAGTTTGTTTCACAAGATGAAAAGAGTTCTGTGGAGAGATGATGGTGACATTGAACACTGAGCGTACTTAATGCCACTCAACTACATACTTAAAAATGGTTAAGATGATTCAGTTTTACATTATGTATAATTTACATAACGTAAATTAAATTGTTTTGTTTTGTTTTGTTTTGAGATGGAGTCTTGCTCTGTCGCCCAGGCTGGAGTGCAGTGGCATGATCTCAGCTCACTGCAAGCTCCGCCTCCCGGGTTCATGCCATTCTCCTGCCTCAGCCTCCCGAGTAGCTGAGACTACAGGCACCTGCCACCAAGCCCGGCTAATTTTTTTGTATTTTTAGTAGAGACGAGGTTTCACCATGTTAGCCAAGATGGTCTTGATCTCCTGACCTTGTGATCAGCCTGCCTCGGCCTCCCAAAGTGCTGGGATTACAGGCATGAGCCACTGCGCCTGGCCCACAATTAAAAATTTTTAAGAAATTTATGGTGATCTTGGGAGAACTAAAAACAATAGTGTTTTGATACAATTGTTTATTCCTTATTTTTTTCCAATAAGTAAATTCACCAACCAACTGACCGACTGATTTCCCAAAAGGGTAAACAGCTACCATTAAGCATCACTGCTTCATCCTTTGATAATGATTCCAGATAGGAAAGAGATTAAGTATGGCAAATCTCTCTGTAATTTAGTCTGAAGAACTTGAGGGAGTAGGGGAAGAACTTTCTTTGGATCAGAACTGACCAACTGATCCCCCCAAAAGGGGAAACAGCTTTCATTAGGCATTGTATGTAACTGCTTCATTCTTTGATAATGATTCCAGGTAGGAAAGAGACTGAGTAAGGCAAATCTCTCTGTAATTTAGATTGAAAAACTTGAGGGAGTAGGGAAGAACTTTCTTTGGATCAGAACTGACCAACTGATCCCCCCAAAGGGGAAACAGCTTCCGTTAAGCAATGCATGTAGCTGCTTCATTCTTTGATAATGATTCCAGGTAGGAAAGAGACTAAGTATGGCAAATCTCTCTGTAATTTAGTCTGAAGAACTTGAGGGTGTACAGTAAGAACTATCTTTGGGGGAAAAAGAGGGAAAGGCAGAGTGTGGCCTTACATGGCTATTCACATTGTAGAAGACTGCCTTCTCGCAGAAAAGCTCCAGCGTCAGACCCATAGGATCTGACTCCCAGCTCTACCACTGAGATACCATGGGACCTTGGTTATTTCCCTTGGTCTCTCTGTGTCTCAGACTAATTATCGGTTAAAAAGTGTTAATGATTATACCTATCTCATGAGGGTGATGGGTACTTAGCACAGTGCCTACTTAAGAGTGTTAATAATGGTCTGTCAGCTGGGCATGGTGTCTCACGCCTGTAATCCCAGCACTTTGGGAGGCCGAGGTGGGTGGATCACCTGAGGTCAGTAAATCAAGACCAGCCTGGCCAACATGGTGAAACCCCATCTCTACTAAAAATACAAAAATTTGCCAGGTGAGGTTGTGGGCATGCCTGTAATCCCAGCTAATGGGGAGGCTGAGGGAGGAGAATCGCTTGAACCTGGGAGGCAGAGGATGCAGTGAGCTGAGATCATGCGATTTTGCACTCCAACCTGGGCAACAAGAGCAAAACTCCGTCTCAAAATAATAATAATAATAACAATCTATCATCACTATATACTTGTTAATTGGTTTCTTAATTTAATTAGGTAAATATTGTTACTATAATCCAAAAAATGGAAGGTAATTTAAAGGTCTTTAAATATAATTTAAGTTATATTTAAGTATATAAAATATGTATAAGAATATAAATTATTATATGTATATATTTAACTACATAAAGGTTAAAGACCTTTAAACTGTATTCAGCATCTGATTACTCCTTACCACCTCATGGCTCAGACCACCATCGCCTGTTACCTGGATTTCTGCAATGGCCTCTCTCAGCTCCCAGCCCCACTGTTGCCCTAAAACAGCAAATTGAATGGTCATTTTAAAATATATATATATAAGTCAAATACTGCGTTTCCTCTCCTCAAAATTTTTTGATGTCTCCCTTTTCCTCAGAGTGAAAACTAACACCTTCACAATTGCGTTTGAGACCCTAGGAGGTCCACGCCACCTGCCTGACTATCTCTTGCTGCAGTCCCCTGGGTCATTCCACTTCAGTCACATTGGCCTTCAGGCTGTGCCTCAATGTGACAAGATGCTCTTGCCTTTCACTTTGGCCAGGATATGTCTTCCAGGAAATACCCTCATTTTGTTATCTCCTTACCACCTTCATGTGCTTGCTTAAATGGCCACTGCTCAAGAGACCCATTATGACCACTCTCCATTCTATAACCTTCCCCAAACTCACCCGGGCCCTTCATATCCTGTATAATATGCTACACTTTTCTTTCTTCCCACACACAGTAACTATCTTTGCATATTACATAATTTACTTACTTTGCTATGGTTATTGTTTATTGCCCATTTTCCTCACTAGAAATTAAGCTCCATAGGTACAGAATCTTGGTCTATTTTTGTCTTTAATGTCTCCCAAGTAGCTAAAACAGTACCTGGTACATTATAAGTGTTCAGTAAATATTTGTTTAATAAAAGAATATATGAAGAGTCATTTGTTTATTTATTCAGTGTCCTCCTTGTACAATACATGTGCCTGAGGGCTCTGCATGAGTTCTCTTATTTAATCTTCACGGTGATCCTTTAATATAAGGAAGACTACCTTTATTTGAAAGACAAAGCAGCTTAAACTTAATGAAATAGTAAAGTAATTTATCCAAGATCATGAATGTGAGAGTTGGGATTTAAACCCAAATTACTGATTCTAAATTTAGCCTTCTTTCCATAAGACCACATTAAAACATGAAAAAGAATAAAAAAAACCTAACTATGTGATATAGAACAAAAATTGGTCCATTTGCAGATTATACTCTTACTGGAAGGAGTGACCTGAGTAACCCACTCAGACACTGAAAAACCACTTAAGTCTATTCAACACCATTAGGTTGATTATTTCTACCTTCAGAAAAGCAGGTGACACTGGCCGCCACCCTAACAGGAACAGTTCTGATCTATGTTTCAAACTAATCAAAAACAGATAATCAGAGCCTGAATCATCAGAGAAACCTCTCTATGAGTTTCACTGCGTTGCTTATAGGGCTAACACAAAGTTGCATACATTTCAGCCAGTCTTTTGCTATGGTTTCACTGGTTAATTCTTTCAAATGAAGAGCCACTCGTTATTTTTAATTTATTCAGGCAATGATGATTATTTCTAGTCATGGCTTCAAAAATGGCTTGGAATCTGCTCAGAGAATCTGCTGGGAGGACAGAAAGCCAGACCTGGAAGGGTCCTCAGAGGGCATCTACTCTGACTGCATAAATTACAGATAGGGAAACCTGAGGGCTAGGGTTAGGAAATGACTTCCAAAGCCCTGTAATGTAGAAGAATCAAATCCTGTTAATGGAAGAGTGATATGCTCTGTGTGGAGGTGGGAATTATAGAAAGGTACGTCTCTCCATATTTTTGAATTCAATCATATCCTTCATTAAGACTGATTGTATCTGTGCATTTTTTTCCCCTTGGAATGAATTCTAATTGATGAGGTTACTGAATGTCAATGCCTAATAAATAATTACAATAGTAGCAATTATTGAGTATATTATATATGCCAAGGTAAGAGCTTTACATTCATTGGACCATTTCAACCTAATAATGTCGTCAATAGTTACTGACTTAATCATCCCACATCTGTCTTTTGGGTGAGAAAACTGAAGATCAAATATATAAACTGACTTACCTAATTTGATCCAAAAAAAACACAGGCAGGACACAGATTTGAATGGACAGAAGTTTGTCTAACTCTAAAGCCACTGTTCGTAACCATTTTACCACACTATAGTGTTTCTTATTAAAATTATCTTCAGTAAATTTCATTTGCCTAGAACATAGAGGGTGAGGGAAAAATAAGAAGTCTCATCCTAAACACTAACAATTATCCAATATTACCTTACTAACGGGTTGTAAATTCCATCTGAATCTGAATTTTAAACTGTTTTCTATTACATAGCTTCCAGTTTTATGAATTTCTTGAGCCTCCTTCATTGCCACATAAACATAGCCTACAGGTGCATTAATGCCATCATCATATGGAAACCTCATGTCAACACTTAGCCGAATTTCTGGGTGTTGCTTGGAGTAAATTTCAGAAATTAGAAGATTTTCTTTCCAGATTTCCCTCTTCAACCAGCTGATGTAACATTACTTAAATTTAATTACATGCCATCGAAAGTAAGGGCTTTTCTGCTTTCAAGGGGCTTTGTTACTGCTCTGCAGCTGAGAACTTGCGGGAGGGTGCAATTCTGATGGAAGGAAAAAGAAATCTCATTACAGCATGTTTGCTTCTATTAAGAGATGTAAGAGGAAACTGTTACATCTGGCTCATTTTCCTTGCCAAATTCTTTAATTGTTTTGTAATTTGAGAAAAAACAAAGGTGATGAAACAAAACTGACAGAAATAGCTAACCATAAATAAAACAAGCTCATAACAATGCTAACTCCATCACCATGGCAATGCATACTTACATTTCTAACCTCTGACCTCCATTACCATTGGTAGCTTTTTATGGAAACTTCAGACATTGTCCTTTTTTCTCTTCCATTGGAGGGAAAAATATAAAGAGACCCATAACTTTACTTCTTAGAGTTGATAAATATCATTAGACAGAAACTGACACTGCTTTAGAATAAATGCAGTGTTCTCAGTACCCTCAGAATCTGAAGCTCAAAATTCTCTTGAAAAGTCTGTGGGAAGGTAAATTCCTTTACGCAGGCACAGTTTTCTAACAGACTAAAGATTAGTGACTAGTAAGCCTGTCTCCTATAGAAGTTTAGAAATTCAGTATCTTGCCTAACAACCACTGTTACTGAGGACTATGCTACACCCTTTAATTCTCAAGGTATCCTTAGAGAGTCAGGCTTCATTACTCCCATTTTACAGATGAGGAAGCTGAGGAGAAGTTGGTAACTTGCCCAGTCTCACTATTAGAAAGTAGAAAATTTGAAACTTCCTGTTCTCTAGTTTGTGTTTTTAATTATTCTAGTCTGCCTCTTGTGGAAATACTTTACCTGGGTCACCATAGATTTTTCATGCAGAAGTACCCTGAACATCTATCTAGACAGTGTACGTTTTTTGTTTTGATGTTCTAAACCCAAGTTCTACTTCGCAAGTTTCATGGTACCAATAAGGCATTGTTGTCTGACCTACTGATACCTTTCTTACACTGGTGTGGTCACAGTCTGAAGAAGCAGCCAGGCAGAGACTAAGCCTAGAGAAGGAGGGGATGACAGATGCGGGTATTCCAAGTTGGATGTCTTCATGATGGAAAACCTCCCAGTCTGAGAGAGCCAGGGGCACTTTTGAAGTTGGGCCTGTGTTCCTAAGGCTGTGGGCTGAAACCCATATCAACCACCTGATAAAGTTGATACAATGACCATTTTCATTGTACAGATGAGAAATCTTAGAAAGAAAGGGATCTGTATAAGGTCATTTAGCCAGTGAGTAGTAGAGCTGGCGTTCAACTCACATCTCTCAGATGCTGAACAGGAGCTCTTAGTCCTATTCTTCGCAAAGTGAATGGCTTTGGCAATCCATTCACCAAAATGCTGGCTTTTGCCTTCTAATGTCCTGTTAATCACATGTTACTGAAGATCAATGAGTATAGAACTTTTCTCAGGTCAGAACACCTGATCGTCTTTTTACTCAGAACCATCTGCAAGTACAGACAGAAACAGTGTTTTCACATTCGTTGGGGATCTGGATGATTCTCTCCCCACAACACTCCTTGGCTGATGTCTAAAATTCCTTACACACAGTATCATCTTATTCACTTAGGGCTTTCCTCTCTCATTATAAAAATTAAAGGTCAGTAATTCTCAGTTATGATCAATCTCTGTTCCCTTTTGTGACTCAGCTTCACATACTTTCCTAAGTGGCAGATTTAGGCTCAGTGTACTAGATTATGAATTACTTAAGGATCATAATAACATCTGATCCATCTTTCTACCCCCGGTGAGTGGTATAGTCAGTGTCTGACACAGAACAGAATTTAAAAATTGGTTATCTGCATGAAGGATATAGTCATGTACACATGCAAGTAGTAATTTAGGAGTGTGGCAAAACTAACAGCAACATGACAAGGAGTTGAATTTTGTTTAAAATAAATGATCATCACCAGTAATGGCCATAAAATGTTGGATACCTAGTGTGTGCCTGGTGCCATATTATCACTTTGCATGGATTATATAATTTTGTCTTCTCCACCAATGGAGGAAGGAGGCAATATTGCTATTTCCAGGTAAGGAAGCTGACATGGGAGAGGGTAAGTAACTTGGCCAAAGACTCAGAGCTAGTAAGTGGTGGAATGGGCTTTCATTGTAAGTCCCTGGAGTCTAGAGACCACACTTAATTAATATCTCAAACTGCCTTTAAAAGAGAGTTAAATAATATATATATATATATATATATATATATATATATATTTGTATTTACTAATAACACACTCAGTCTATTAATTCACTCATTCAACATTTTTGAACCCATTTTTCCATCCCAGGTATTAATATTAGGCACTGGGAATACAAAAAAGACATAGTCCTTCCTCAAGAATAATGTTTCCATTTTTGATGGACAACTCTCCAAATCAGGATATAACGTGAGAATTTTCACAGGTTTAGAGAAAATAAAAGGCACAGAGGTAATTTTAGATATTAAGTTATTAAAGTTATATAAGATACATGCAGTAATTGAGGCCTGCCCACAATATAAGAGGAGGACAGGAAAATACTATGTACAGCTTGATGAGGAGGCAGAGGGGATATATCACGGAAGACTTTCTGGAGGCAGGGCTACTCTGTTTTAAGTTAACAGTTTCAAATCTCAAATGGACATGTGCCTCTCTGAAAGGTCATACAGATTTAGTGAAAGTAAATCTTCTTCTAATAATCTTCCAGTATAGGTGTAGGCAATTCTATTCAATTCTGCTATATTTTAAAAGCAATCACAGACAATACATAAATGAATGGGTATGGTTATTTTACAATAAAACTTTACTTATATTAACAGGTCACAGGCTGAATTTGGTCCACAGCCTGTAGTTTGCTGACTCCTATTCTAGTATGAAAAATGATATTCCATAATAGTACTGTTAATTTTGGCTTCCCCCAAATTCATGAATAACCACATGGCCAGCAATACTTGTTGTTGTACAAATCCTGGGAAATCAAATCATTTTCTGATCCCAGCATGCAACTTGCCTAATTATGATTAACACCTCCCATCTTTATCTGAAAGAAAACATTCTGTGAAGGGACAGATGGTGTTGCTATGGAGTCTTCAACATCTTCAGCTGCAGATGTAACTATGCCGGTTGCAGGCTGAAAATGATCAACTGACTGGTGGCTTCCTGGGAAAATATTTGAAAGATAGAAATATTCTGCAGATGGAAAATTCACAGCCATGCTTGATTTTCTCAAATGAGGAATACTTCTTAGGAAAAAGGGAAATCAAAGTCACTAGTCCTCAAAAGCCAGGAAATTACTAAAACTAGAGAAAGCACAAGATATTAAGAACAGACAGCAAGGTACACTTATAGCTCACACTGACCTTTTAACTCTAGAACATGTGAAATTTGCTTTCAAACAGTAGAAATTATCATGTGGTAAAACATATGACTCTTTATTTGTAAATGTCACTCTCTGGAGCATAAGCTGCAACCACAGTTACAAAGAAGCAGCTATTTTTTCTGAGACTATGAAAATTCTCTCATTATTTGCTGATTTACATAGTTGTCCATCAATAAAGAAAATGTTTAAGAAAAGCCTAAGTTGTTTCTCAGGCAATCTGAGAGTAAAATGCACATGACTTGACTCTACATTGCTCCTTGCTTTAAACTGGTAAAAGTCTACAGAAATGGTTCTTTTCTTTTCTTGTCTATTTCACAAATATATATTTAGCACACACTCCAGCAAACAGAGGAGCTGTAGAGATGTAGAAATTAATAAAACCAAGTTAAACCCATGAGGACCTCAGCATTAGCATTAGTTATTTTAAGCCATTGCTAAACACAAATGATCTCTTGATTTTTAGACATGCATTAGAGATCTGTTGTAAACAAAGGATAGAGTGGAGGGAGGAAAACTCTGGAAAATAATAGAAGAGTAGCAAGAAAGGACAGACCCAATTTGGACATTGGGACAGCAGGAGTCTGGGAAATTGCAAAAAAGATTTCTAGAAAAAGACCCTTCAGAAAAGAC
Organism: Homo sapiens; assembly: GCF_000001405.40. NCBI lineage: Eukaryota > Metazoa > Chordata > Mammalia > Primates > Hominidae > Homo > Homo sapiens. The sequence continues at coordinate 156,556,315 of NC_000005.10, read as the reverse complement.
ACAGGGTGACAAAAATGATATAGAGGCTTTAGGCAACAAATAATCACGGGCAATTTAATCTTCCTAATGGTTTCTCTGCTCTAATAGGGAACACAGTAAGATGTGACTTGGCTTGGCTTATTTGGAGGAAGGAAAATGAGTTCATAAAGACTGACTCTGAGCGTATCTCTAATACCTGGGTTTTTTTTTTTTTTTCTTATCTGTATCAGAAAGTATTTTCTTAGATATTAGGTGTTCAAGTCACTGTTAAGACAATTAAATAAACATGTGATATGAGATGACCAAGTTGAAAAATGGGATTCTTTAGACAGAAAGATGAATCTTTGGAAGGAAAATTATGTAAGCCCTAAAACATTGTGAAAAACAATTTCACTGATGATAGCACCAAAAAATACTTAGAAATATGTTTAACAAAAAAGTAAAAGACTTGTACAATGAAAACTACAAAACACTGCTAAAAGAAATTAAAGAGCTAAATAAATGGGAAGGTATCTTGTGTTCATGGATTGGTGGACAATATTATGAAGATGGAAATACTCTCACTGATCTACAGATTAAATGCAATCCTGGAGAGCCGATCTTAAAAATTCAAATGGAAAGGCAAAAATTCCCAAATAGTCAAAACAACCTTGAAAAAAAAAAAAGAACAAATTTGTAGGCCTTACACTTCCTGGCTTCAAAATTAACTACAAAGATATAATAATGAAAGCACTATGTTACTAACATAAAGGTAGCAATAAAGACAATAGAATAAAATTGAGGATTCAGCAATAAGTTGATACAGCTATGGTCAGTCGATTTGCAACAAGGGTACCAAACCATTCAGTGGGAGAAATAATAGTCTTTTCAACAAATGATGCTGGGACGACAGAATAGCTATATGTAAAAGAATAAATACGGCCCTCTACCTAACAACATACACAAAAATTAACTCAAAATGGATTGAAGATTTAAACATAAGAACTAAAACTGTAAAATCTTTGTAAGGAAGCATAGATGTAAATGTGCTTGCCATTGGATTAGGCAACAGGTTCTTAGATACGACACCAAAAACACAATCATTCAAAGAAAAAGTAGATAAATTGGACTTCATCAAAAATAAAAACACTTCAGGGCAAAAGACACTGTCAAGAAAGTAAAAACTTTCTTGGAAATAAACTCTGCAAACTATGTATATCTTAAAGATCTAGTGTCCAAAATATATACAAACTTATCACAACTGAACAATAAAATGACAACCAATTAATAAGTGGACAAAAGATCTGAATCAACATTTCTTCAAAGAAGATATACAAATGGCCAATAAGTCCATGAAAGGATGTGTAACATCATTAGTGATTAGGGAAATGCATATGAAAACCACAATGAGATATCATTTCACACTACTGTGACGGCTGTAATGGAAACAGAAAACAAGTGTTGGTGAGGACATGGAGAAACTGGAAACCTCACATATTGTTGAAAGGAATGTAAAAGGGTGCAGCTACTGTGGAAAACACTTGGATTGCTTCCCTCAGTAAGTTAAACACAGAATTTCCACATGACCCAGCAATTGCATTCCTAGGTACAGTGGTCCTCCCTTATCTTCAGGGAATACATTCAAAGATCCACAATGGATGCTTGAAACCACCCATAGTACTGAATCATTTAGATATATAATATATATATATAATATATATTATATGCACATGTTTATATACATATATGTTATATGCATATATATATACACATATGCATACTTTTTTTTGGTTAAACATAGATACATATGTTTATATAACACACACACATATATACACAAACAGTTTTTCCTATACCTGCATACCTACAATAAAGCTAAATTTATAAATTAGGCATAGTAACACATGAACAGCAATAATGACAAAATAGATTATAAAAATATATCATAATAAAAATTATGTATACATGGTACCCCTCTTTCAAAATTCTTTTTTTTTTTTTTTGAGACAGACTCTCGCTCTGTTGCCAAGGCTGGAGTGCAGTGGCGTGATCTCAGCTCATTACAACCTTCGCCTCCTGATTTCAAGCAATTCTTGTGTCTCAGCCTCCCAAGTAGCTGAGATTACAGGCGTGCGCCACATGCCTGGCTAATTTTTGTGTTTTTAGTAGAGATGGGGTTTCATCATGTTGGCCAGGCTGGTCTCAAACTCCTGGCCTCAAGTGATCTGACTGCCTTGGCTTCCCAAAGTGCTGGGATTACAGGCATGAGCCACTGCACCTGGTCTCAAAATGTCTTATTGCACTGCACTCACTTGTTTTCAGACCTCTGCTGACCATGAGTAACTGAAATTATGGAAAGTACAACCACGGATTAAGGGGGACGACTGTATATAACCAAGATAATTGAAAACATATATTTACACAAAAATGTGTACACAAATCTTCATTGTAGCATTGCTCATAATAGTCAAAAAGCAGGAACAACTCAAATGTCCATCAACTGATGAATGGATAGACAAGATGTGGTGTACCCAAACGTAATAGTAATTCAGCCATAAAAAGCAATGAAGTACAGATATAGGCCCCAATATGAATGAACCTTGAAGACCTTATGCTAAGGGAAAGAAGTCACATGCAGAAGGTCATGTACTATGTAATTCCATTTGTATGAAATATCCAGACTAGACCCATAGAGATAGACAGCAGATTAGGGTTGCCAGGGGTTGTAAGAAGGGGAGGATGGAGACTGACTGCTGATGAGTATGGGGTTTCTTTATGGGATGATGAAAATATTCTGGAATTAGGCAGTGGTGATGATTGTAAAAAATAGAAAATATATGAAAAACCACTGAAGTGTATTATTCTCAAAGGTGAATTTTATGTTATATGAATTATAGCTCAATTAAAAAAAAGAATTAACAGGTAGGTATAGGATGGGTCTGGGCAGGTGCTCAAATACATCAAATCAGGGAAACTTATTCCAAGTGTGGGAACAAGTGATTTGAGAGCATCTTAAAGAAGAAACACTTTTGAAAAACTTAGTACCTGCTATGGTTTGAATGTTTGTTCCCTCTAAACCTCGTGTTGAAATGTGATCCCTACTGATGGAGGTGGGGCCTACTGGGAGGTGTTTGGGTCATGGGGTTGGATCCCTCATGAACAGATGAATGCCCTCCATTGGGGGTGAGTGACTTCTCACTCTGCTATTTTCCACAAGGGCTGGTTGTTAGAAAGAGCCTGGAATCTCTCCACCTCTCTTGCTTCATCTCTGACCATGTGATCTCCACACACGCTGGCTGCCCTTCGCCTTTTGGAAGCAGCCTGAGGCTCATACCTGAGGCAGATGCTCAATCTTGAACTTGCCAACCATCAGAATCATGAGCCAAGGAAGCCTTTTTTTCTTCATAAATTACCCAGCCTTAGGTATTTCTTTATAGCAACACTAAATGGACTAAGACCATACTCTTTAAGGTGGAAGGAGCTAAAGATGAAGTTAGATTTGGGACGGGTTTAAAGCAATGGATGAAAAGGTATTCTGAAAACAAATCTAAAAATATTTTGGGCTGAAGACAAACAGAGGACAGCTGTGCCCTACTATATAACAGTCTATACTACTTTTATTGGTATTATTATCATTAATAATATTATTGCTATCTCAGGGAGAAATAACAGATGTGGTATCCTACAATGACTGCAGGAGGATGTTCTTATTTTCAAATGAGCTGACCCTTATTCTTGGTAGGATGTTCCTCCATTCACAGGGGCTCCACATCCATTGGTACTTGTTTGTACAAGGTGGTAGGCAAAGAAAAGTCTTCTGTTTGGACTCGCCTCTAATAAAAGATAAATGAGTAATATAAGCATGATTGCTGTGACTTATTTACAAACAAACATACAGAATGTTAGATCCCACTAGGGAAGGGATGGCAAACATGAACCATGGTATCTCCACATCCCCACTGTTGTACCTAGGTCAGGCACTGCCAACTGGTAACTGCTCACTTTCTCACTGTGTTCAGACTCCGTTTCACATCTTCTCAACACAGCACTACAGGCAAATAGGACCAATTTATCTGAATTGGTCACCAAGAAGAAACCCACTTACACATTTGCCTTATAGGCTCTCACCTTGATGTTATCAGGGGAAATAAAGAGGGAAATACAGTGCTAGAGAGAAACATGTGCTGTGTGTCTGTGGCATGAGCAGTGGGGATGGGAGTTCTCGCTGATGCTCCAAATTTGAATAGCAAATCCTTAGAGGGGAAGACCTGCTTACAGATGTCCATGCTATGGACAAAGGCCTGGGCAGTACATAACAGATGCTACCCTTCCTTAAGGTTAAACAAGCCAAATCAAATGCCTTGGTATGAGTGATCAAGTCAAATGAATAGGAAAATAAACAAGAACCCCATTTTTTCAGGTCGGTTAGAAAAGGCTTTCTGGAGGAGATGACCTTTTTGTAAGACCTTAGAAGAACAGGAGAAAACTGGTAGAAGTCACAGTAAAAGCAAAATGAGAGAATGCACAGCATGGGAATGTCAGGAAATAGTAACTTCTGTGTCAGGGATGGCATGGAATATATCAGCAAGTATTGACAGCAGGATCGCTAGACCATGGGAGGTAGCTCTTAGAACCGGAAGTCACCTTAACCAGGTTTAGCTAACATATGTGAAAAAAACCAAGATCATGCATGGTTTCTTTCTTCCTTTGCCTTTATCCCTCCCTTTTCCTTTCCTCCCCCACTTCCTTTTTTTCTTTCTTTTGTTCTTTCATTCAGTGACTGTCGAATTTTCACCATGTGCCAAGTACTGTTCTAGGCATTAAAGATACACTCCCCTGCCCCCGCAAAACCCTGCCCTGTTCCCGTGAACACACACATCCAAGGAGAGAGGCAAGGAATAATGTACTGGATCGTGATTGTGAGAGTGAGAATATGGATGATCATAGGAGAAGATTCTGGGAGAAAGAGTGTGCATATTTGAGTGTGTAGGGAAGGGTTGTGATGAGATAGACAAAAGCTAAAAAGGCAAATAATATGTTCAGTGGGAATAAGTCCTAGGAAAAAAATAAAATGGCATTTGTTGGGAATGGCATAGTTTTCATAGAAAAGATGTTCTGAAATTGTGGTAATTTTGGCAGAGATCTGGATAAAGTGAAGGATGAGACAGGTGGATATCTCAACTAAAATACCACAGGTAGCAAGAACAAGAAGTGCAAAGGTCTTGAGGTAAGAGATGACTGTGTTAGAGGGGCAAGGGCTAAAGAGCTGACAGGGCGAGTGTGGCAACAAGGTCAGAAAAGATACAGGGGAGGATCCTGTTGAGTATGAGGAATGAGTATATGTAGGAATATTGGAAGACTGAGACAGCCAAGTGGTAAAGAAACATGTACACTAAATAAGATGTCTGTCTTGAAAAATGAAAGCCAACAAGATGACCTACGAAGGCAGAAAAACAAAGTGACAATTCCCATGCCGTCTTCATGAAGGATGCTTATTCCTAAGCCCTTCACTATCTCCTTTAAAAAGCATTATGTCCCAAATTCTTAAATTTCTAGTAGCTAATAAATGACTTTCTTTTGTGCACAGAGGAACAGTTCTCAACCAGGTCCTTTGTTTGAGCCTTAGCTCAAAGGTAACTATGGGACTAGAGAGTGGGCTCAGAGAGCGGGAATCTAATAATGATGTTTTATCTCAAACAACTCCTCCACAACTGAAGCCACTTGTCTGCAGAAGCAAACGAATAAAATTGAGTCATAAACCTCCCTTCGCTGACTTCAGAAGCTGGAGTGCTTGGTGATGTATCTGTGGACCAAGGGATCTGAGTGTAAATCAATGGTCATAAAGTTAGCTCTTACTGGCTGCACCAGCAGGCCCCAGGCTCACACAGGCAGCAATGTCTGCAGTGAGAATGGGTAAGCAGGGGCACAAGACCATCCTACAGCTTATCGCAGAAGTGTCGTGAAGCACTTAGCTTATCTAGACAGCAGCATCTCTTCCCTTTCTGCTCATGAAAAGAAAGCCCTTCTTATAGAATGTCCATTTCCTCCACTTCTGCACAACCAATGTTCCTTAAGGATCAGACCAAATCTCATTTCCTACCCCAATGCCCTGACCATTTACTCATATAAGAAATACAACTTATCTACAATTCCTGTAACCTCCGTGTCACTTGTAACCTTGTGAAATGTTTATCAGAGGTAGCAGTGTGATTGGGAGCTATAAAAGAGTTTCCTGGTTTTAAATCCTGGATCTACTTCTTTCCCCCTCTGTGTGTCAGCTTTCATGTCAGTTTTCTGCACATCAGTTTTTCCATTTGTGAAACTGGTATAATAATGGTAGAAACCTCATGGCACTTTACATGAAAACAGGGTGGGTTTATGTATGCAAAGCCATACATAATAGTTCAGTACTCTCAGTTATTATTTTTATGTTGATAAGGGTTATTTGCATTCAGTTTCCACTTTTCTATGAAATGGTAAATTTCCTGATGGCAGTGACTACTTCTTGATCCATAGTTGAAGCAGATTTATTTAGTAGAAAGGGTTTGGGTACCATGGTTAGACAGCCATAAAGTAGAATTTCAGTTCGACTGCTTATTGACTCTGTGAGTTTAGGCAATGGCATAGAATGCCAAGAGTCTGAGAAGCTACTAATACACATTCAGCAGTTGAATGCTGAGGATCATGTAACCAAAGAAAAACTAATGCCACAATTAATAGCAAATGCCATGAATGTGGCCTAGTGCAACAAGGTAGTGAAATGCATTAGACTAAATAACACACATTTCTACCCAGCATGTTTTATTTCTAGCCCATTTACTGGAGTACACACCTAATGAACATTAATTCCTTCTAGTTCTCCATCCTCACTTTGCACTGGTGCCAAGCTAAGTCCATGCCCTGCATCTAGCAGGTGCTTGACAAATGTGTGTTTGATGGAAGACATGGATATTTGCAGCCAAGTATGTTCAACAGTAGAATAATATTTTAAACAGATTTATACAATCCAGGGCTATAAAACACCACCATGTTCACATCTAGGCTGACAACGTGAGCTCATCCTGCTTTGCTGATAGAAATACTCTACATCTTATTTTACGGAAAAATCCCATGGAACAGATGTTTTCCCTCAGTACCAATCTGTGATCAAAGATGATGTCATACCTTGGGCAAGGTAATATCATATTTAAATGTTTATAGAATGTTAAATAGTCCTAAAATATTGAATATAATTCTCAGATTTAGGTGGATTTTTTTTTCATTTTTAGACTGCATAACTGAATCTTGCATTTTGATGTAGGGAAGGGAATAAGGTGGTGGGAGGGGAGACATAATCTAAGCAGTGTGTTGTCTGAACTGGCAAGTATTCTAGGTTGACAGAACCTTAAGGAGCTCAAGGCTGAATCAAATTTGAAAGTGCTGTGATGTTTACCTGGAGACAGGGTATTTTAGAACATTATTTAATGTTCTCAAGGATGCTCTGTGCAGTCATCTCTTCCCGCAGGATCAGAGACCGGCCCTGTGCTTCCAGAGCTCTCCTTTTCCTTTTGTGGACTCCTATTATTCCTCCCAGCTCAAAGGCAATGGCCTCACTCACCATCACCAGTGACTGTGCATTAGTGTGCTCCAGTGCCTGTCACTTGATTCAGCACTCTGCACACATTGCCTCACTTAATCCACCCATATCACTGTTATAAGGAAAGTCCTATCTTCTGAATTTGACAAATAAAAAAAAAATACACGGAAAGGAAAAGTGACTTGGTGAAGATCACATGCCCAGCAGGTAGCTGAGTCAGCTGTGTTTAGAATCAAGACCAAAGCTCTTAAACTATGACTTAATTATCTATATCCAATTTCCTCCAAGATTATGGTCTTTAACCCTATATGCTCTTGTCTCTCAGCAAATTTTCCTTTTGGATGTTTTCAATTTGCATGAACCAATTTGTATTCAATTTGGTACTTTTACTGATCCAAACAAAATCTATCTAAATGGCAACCAGCTCAAAAAGCATGAGGTACCATACTGAACTCACCATATTTCATACTTTTCCAATTAACTCTTCTCCTTCCAAAGTTGGTAAGGGGACATTCGACTTCTATCCTCCAAAGCTGAGCATATTCATCTTGCCAGTGAAATTGTCAGGTATTGGGGTGGGGTGGATTGCTAAGTCCATTTGGGCCATTAACACCTAAAAAGAGGATTCCTGGTGGTTTCTGGGAGAGAAACATTCTCACTCTTTAGTGACTCAGGCTATGTGCCTACTATTGGACATAAATAAAGAAGCAGTTAGAAACAGCTGATGCTGATAGCATCTTATAATACTGCAGGGAACCAGCCCAATGCTATGGGTGACAGGCCCAAAGCCCAGAAAGGATCTGAGTCCATGATGACCCTGTGTGCTACCAAATCAATGAAACCTGGAGTTTGACTTGCCTCAAGATCACCTGTCAAGTGACCTAATGTATTTCCTTCTTATTCAAGCCAGTTTAAGTCCACAGATTTGATTCCTGCAGCCAAAAATATAGTAACTAATACAGATTCTAGCTGTCTTCTAGTTACACAAGCCTCAGTCCTCGAGACCAACTTTCAGCCTTCCCAATCTTTTATTTATATAAAAATGATATTATCGGCTCGTGCCTGTAATCCCAGCACTTTGGGAGGCCGAGGTGGGCGGATCACCAGGTCAGGAGATTGAGACCATCCTGGCTAACATGGTGAAACCCTGTCTCTACCAAAAATACAAAAAATTAGCCGGGCATTGTGATGGGCACCTGTAGTCCCAGCTACTTGAGAGGCTAAGGCAGGAGAATGGCGTGAACCCGGGAGGCGGAGCTCGCAGTGAGCAGGGATCGCACCACTGCACTCCAGCCTGGGTGACAGAGTGAGACTCCATCTCAAAAGAAAAAAAAAAAAAAGTCATATTATCATTTCTTCTATCTTTTGGTACAACAAATTCCTCTTTACAGAACATCTCTGGAATAGTTATTCTCAACCAGGGAACCAGGGTGATTTTGTCCCCCGATGGATATGTGGCAAGGTCAGGAGAAATTTTTGGTTGTCACAACAGAGGGGGCAGGGGTGCTATGGAAATCTAGTGGGTAACAGGCTATGAATGCTGCTAAACACCCCACAATACAAAGGACAGTCCCCACAAAAGTGAGAAATCTGGCCCCAAATGTATTATCATAGTTCTGAGGCTGAGAAACTTATTCTGGAAGGATGAACAAGACACTGGCAATTGCCTCTGTAGTGGGTAAATGGGCATCTGAAGCAAAGAGGTGCCACAAACAAATACAACTACTTCAAAATAGGTAAACAGATTAATCATGAAATATTTGTACAGATGGAAATTATTTTCAATAAAAGAATTGTAACAGTTCAATTTTTCTTACTTGAAATCCAGTGTATTACTTCCTGACAATGCCTTACTATATCTAGTTACCTTTCCTGAAATTACATCAAGGACCTCCTCCTGATTTTACCTCTAAGCTCCCTCTCCACCAAAACTTTTACTTATCCCATGCTATTTCTTTGCTTAAATACTTATGATAGCTGCCAGGGTTCACTGTAACAAGTCAAGATATAACTTTTCCTGTGCCTCAAATTTTAGCTCCATTCTGGTCTAATCCATGTAATTCCTACCTGACAAGATCATATTTCACACATTTTCAAGGTCTACACAAAATTTCATTTATTCCATAAAGCTTTCTCTAATTATCTTGACCCATTGTAATCTCATTTTTTTTTTCCTTCTATAGCATGAGGGTCACAGAATTCAATGAGATAAAATAATCTGAAAGTTATCCAGCACTACAATTTCTTTCTTGGGTACACAATGGAGGTTAAATAAGTATATTCTCTATTGTTCTTCCATTTTCCATAGAATCTACCATGGTAGTAGTTCATTGGTGTTCAAAATACTTGCTAATAAAATACACACAATGTGCACACATCTACATACCTGCTGGTCCTCACACTAAGAAGGCAAATTTAACTTCATGAGAGACATAGAGAAACAAGTCAGAAGAGTAGAAGAAAGAAAGTGACCCCCAACATTTGTAGATATAACATCCAACAGATAATATCTCTTTATAATTTTTCAGAGAATGATACCATCTAATCCTGAATTTTCCAAAAGTGTCTCATGGGATATTAACACATATTCCAGAATACAGTGTTCCATGGTCAACTTAATTTGGCAAATGAGTTAAATAAAAGTAGGTGTGTTTTTTATTGCAGAGCATCTCAGAATACAGTCATATTAACATCCAAGGGGGAGATAGAGTGTGCTGTGTTTTCCAAATGTGTGTCCCTCAGACATTTTTGAGGGACATTTATTCTTGATAGTTTTAGAAATCCTGATCCAGTCTAATGCTGCCGTTTTTCAAAAGAAGAAACTGACACCCACTTGACACACTGGGTAATTTGTCATAAAACTTGGAGCTAAAGCCAGATTTTGCTGTGGAATCCTTCTCTACTCCATTTATTTTGTGTCCTCAACATTCTTTGAATGTCCCCAGTATTGGGCTTCCCGCAGACATATCCATACTTCCATTTCCAAATCGCATGTGATAAGCTGGGCACCCGTGGTTCCCATTTGCTAGATCAGGGGTTCCCAACCCCCAGGCCGAAGACGGGTACAGGGAACCAGGCTGCACAGCAGGAGGTGAGTGGCAGGCGAGTGAGCATTACTGCCTGAGCTCTACCTCCTGTCAGATCTGCAGTGGTATTAGCTTCTCATAGGGGTAGGAACCCTACTGTGAACTGGGCATGCAAGGGATCTAGGTCGGGCGCTCCTTATGAGAGTCTAGTGCCTGATGGTCTGAGGTAGAAAAGTTTCATTCTGAAACCATCCCCAACTACCCCCTCATCCCCCAACCCCGACTCCCGTCCATGAAAAAATTGTCTTCCACAAAACTGCTCCCTGGTGCCAAAAACGTTAGGGTCTGCTGTGCTAGATGACAAAACTGAGCCCTTACGAGGCTTAGCATCTTGTTCACAACCATGGAAACAGTGGCAGTGCTGGGATTAGAAATCTGAGGCTCCAGACTTCATGCCAATCCACTACTCTTGATAAACTTCTCTTTCCTTTCACTGTATTGAAAAAAAGGTACTTTTTGACAAGTTTGGTTGTGGGGTGGTATAACTACTGCCCCTCCATATTAAGTGAAAACACATACAAGTCTTATTACAAGGTTTCTAATTTCATGGGACAAACACAAACAAACAAACAAAAAAAGTCACTACCTAGAAGAATAAAGATATATTAAAGCAAGAAGAGATTTGAAGAACTGTCTGGAACAACCTCTTCACTGAACAGTCAAAGAAACTGACATGCTGAAAGGAAACAAAACACCCAACTCAGAGGATTAGCCAACATTTGAAGAGGTCACCCAGTCAGAAGAATGCTTGGACTCCTCCACAAACTAGCTATGGAACCTTAGGCAAGTCAATTCATCTTGCTAAGACGATGTTTCCTTTCCTCATAAATGATGTTATTAACATCCAGTTCCAAGTGCTCGTTAAGATAAGGGTGACAATATATGAGCAAGTTAACATGGTCAATGATAATAATAGTAATGACTATTATTGCTACTATTTGTGTACATACCTTTGAGTGTATGTTAAAGCTTATGATGCAAAATCATCAACATCACTGTTACCTCTTGCCGAAACAACTCGATACCCATATTTATGGGAAAAATATTGTCCTTGTCTAGTGTGAGTTTTTTTTTTTTTTAATTGGCCTTCTAAAAAAACCCTACCTTCCTTCAAACTTCTTGGCCAAAGGTAATACCACCCTGACTTCTACTTTTGTTCCACTAGTCTGTTTGCTGCTGCCAACACATTAACACTGTATTTATTTCAAATTTGGTGGAGTGGGCTAGGAGTTGGAGCTTATGGCTGAGTGGCAATTCTCACATAATTTGGCAAAGTTACACATTTCAGATTTTCTGACTTGGCCGTTTTCAAATTTCACAATCTGGCAGTTCTCAAATAATCCTCTTATTCAATTGAGAGGTAACCTTATTACCAGGTAGGTTGAGTGATCCACCAAAGTTCCCATAGGAAATTACTCACAGAACTGAGCATTAGAAGGCAAGCTATTTAGCTAGCTCTTTATCGTATGCTATTCAAAATTTTCCCAACTAGGGAAAGGAAGAATAATGATGCAACTCATTTTTTGCCTATCTTTGATATGCTTGCTAATATCACCTAGACTAAGGGATATTGCTCACACTGGGTATCCGACTCCTTGTTAACTTGAAATTGTGGTCCTCATCCTCACTTCTGTGTATAAACATATCTCGCTTTTCAGAGAAGAGATTTAATTCAGAGAATGCCTCTTCACTGGAATACACCCAACTGAGCTCTCTGAGCTACTTCCTGAAGAGATGCTGTTAATCTCCTAAATCCTTTAATCACAAAACTGCAGTGGAAGCTGAGCCAGTCCAGTCTTTGGACTAATTCCATAGGGTCTACCAGAGTTTATGAAAAAGTTTCCCTACAATCACAGGAGAATAACCTCTTCACTGGCCACTTATTTAACCTTTATCCTAAAAGGAGAGCCATAAATGTGGTTTCTGAAACTGCAGTCTTGGAGGATCAAAGGCTATTTCTCAGTCCCTTTGGATGAAGAGGTGAAGATATCGTCATCATAAGGATCCCCTGAGCACTTTGTGTCTGGCACTTAGCCCAGCCCCTTACATTTGTTTTCCCATGAAATCCTCACAGCAAACCCATGTGTCCAGCATTGTTGCTACCTCTTTTGCAGAGCAGACGCTGTGGCTTAATGAGAATTAGTGACTTGCCCAAGGGAAAGATGCTCAAAGTAGATTAGACCCACAACAGTCAAGTTCAGAGCACATGCCCTCCCTAACAGCAACATACTGCCTGAGGTCTCCAGACTAGTATTATACTTCGAGAGTCCTGCCTTACTACCAGGAAAGGGACCTGAAGTCACATGATGCTGAAAACTGAGCAGCACTTAGCAAGCACCTGTTAGATGAACAAACAGATTCCTTGAACCCTTTCTTTATCTAGATCAGTGGTTATAAATGAGGGAGGCATATCAGGCAGACTTTATTTTAACTGTCATGACTAGTGTATATGGGGGGTACTACTGGCACATACTGAGTAGAAACCACTGATCCTACAGTGCACAGGACAGCTCCCGCAATAAAGAAACTTTCAGCCCAAAATGTCCAAAGTGCTGAGGTTGAGAAACACTGGTTTAGATGAAACCAGCCAAGCTATTACATCTACAGATCATAAAGCAGCTTCTGCCTTGAGAAGTTTCTTAGAATCATGATCTTCTTTGGTTTCTAGACCTGATCTTGCCCTCATGCAGATTTCTGTGTTTTTGTTATATCTTAGATGCCTGCCTCTGTTTACCTGAATTCACATACATAGATTACATAGTCTGCAGGTTCTGATCTCAAAAGACTATGAAGGGGTGCCTGGCTCTTCTGATTTGGAATTGCTCTGCAGTTACCCCTGATTTGCTGTGATACTCTAGACAATTCTTTATTCTGAGCCAGCGTGTTGCAAGGCAGCACAGCAGAACCTAAGGATGTGGTTATTGCTAAGGGGAGGCAGCAAAGAATAGAGATTGAGGCTTTCTCTGAAGTCACACTGCATAAGTAGGAATGCTGGTCGTGCAGCTCATAAGCCTTAAGACAAATTACTCCATGTCTCTGAGGTTCACTTTCCTGTTTTCTTACCTATAATATAGGAATAATAGTAGTACCTACTTCACTGAGTTACTAGGAGCATTACATGAATATGTATAATGCATATTGCCTAGCAGTATATGAAAGAGGGCTTAACTTATTTTTTTCCAGAAAGCTGGTTGCACTTCTGGCTCCAGAATGTCAGATTGCACTCATACAATGTAGATAAATCATTCTGATAAATTCTTGCATTTAGATGTAGAATTCAAAGGTGACTATGTTTAATATATCCAATGCAAACTAAACTACCTTGAAGGGCACAACAGTTATCATAAATAGCGGAAGTGGTTGGATTAAGACCAAAAAGAGTGGTGGGGTTTTATAAATCTGGAAAATAGTGTGCTTTGTCCAAATAATTTTTTTTAAAGTTAATACTCTATTCTTCCTCCACAAAAACCCACAGATCCATCTTCCCAATTGCACCTGTTGTCTTACTCTTTCTAAACCCCTCTCCACTGTTTCAATAACTTATCTTCCTTTTTCCCCTAACTTTGCCTGTCTACTGTTTTGATCAATTCATCTTGAAACACACTTTATTTTTTTAGGTTCACTAGCCTTAAAAACATTTGGCATTTCAAGAAAGTCAAATGTTTGCAGTGATTTTAAATTTAACCAGTATATAATGAACATTCAACAGATGCCTAGCACAATGCTAGTCACTTTTCAAGGAATAAAATGCCAAGTTGTATGGCATTATTTTAGCCCTGGGAAATAGTATAATGTTGTGGGGAAGAAAAAGAGACTTTGGAGATCAGTCTCAATGTCTGGTTCCTGTATTTGCCAATGCTACGACCTTTGTTGAGTTATTTAGCATCTCTAAAGATTCATTGCAGCATACATAAAATGTGCAAGTCATGATTTTTACTTTATAGGGTTTCTATAAAGTGGAAGATTAAATAGCACATGCAAAGTTAGCACAATTCCTGACACACTTTAAGGTCTCCATAAATGTTAGGTCTCCTTTCCCTTTTCTTCTTATGATGCGCCCCTTCATCACCATCCATCCATGTTAAAAACTTAGTTTATGACCTAGGCAAGACTAACACACATTTGTTTAAAAATAATTCCAAAAAGAATCATCCTTTATTCTTCCCTTGGTTTCCTTGTTCCCAGTGGTTCTGTCAGCAGCTCCTGTCAACTGTACCTCTAAAATATTTCTCAACTCTCCACCTTTTCTGCCACCATCCCATTGGGAATTACCATTATCTCTCACCTGAACCACCGAGGAGCTCCCTCCCTGATCTCTTTGTTCCTACTCTTGCTACTCTAAGGTACATTTGTTTTACACATCAGCCACAATCAACTTTGTAAGATCTATATTCATCCTCTGCCAGCTTAAAATTCCTCAGACTTTTTAGCTGACTTAGGGCAAAACCCCAGCCCTCCAACATAACCAACATGGCCTTGCTTAACTTGTACAGCTCTTCCATTGTGTTACTACTCATCTAATAGCATCAGCTTTTTTTCCTACTCTTTGAGCATAGACAGCAAGTGCTTTGCTTTAGAATCTTTGCATTCACATTCCTTTGGCCTGAAATTATCCTCATTACTCTTGCCATGGCTAGCTTCTGTGGGTCTCAGAGATACCTTTCATAAGAACAATGGATTAGTTTCTCCTTACGTCACACTTTGTCTTCTTCATAGTTCTTAACAAAATGGATACCTACTTGTTTCTTGTTTATCTTCTCCACTAGATTATTAACTCCATGGAAGCGGGAAAATGTTTATCTTTTAAAAAATTATATCCCTAGCCCTCAGCCCCCTGGCCAGCACTCAGGGGATGCCCAATACATCTTTGTGGGAAAAGTGGTCAATTGCCTGCCATCAAAATCAATCAGGACGACTGTGTTGATGGCAAGGCAATTGGGTAAAAAGCACACTTCTGCATTACTGCTTCTATCATGGGGAACGTGGCTCATTAGGATTTCATCAACACTTTGGTATGTACTAAGACAAAGCAGCAAACTATGCGAAATAAGAATCAATACATACTTGTTAAATTAATGACAAGTTTAAGGTCTATCAAGGCTCAGAAGCATTTAAGGCCCAGGATTTTCATGTAAATATTCAGGGAGGAACAGGTGTTAAATGTCTATTTAAATTATGCAGCTTAGCTAATTTAAAGGGGAACATATAAAAGGGAAGACATTTCTTCTCTTCTCTCTAGCCTTGTTAGTTCCCAGCATTGCCACAGATATAAATATGGAGAAAAGAAAAGAAAACAAAAACTTAATGCCAATTCCTTGCCCCAGAGAGTAATTTTACTTCCCCTCTAAATGACTAGCTATTAAACACACAGAAAAATCCTAAAAAAAATAAGTGACAAATAATAATAGCTTCATACCACTTTGGTACGTAGGGGAGCTAGGAACCATAGAAAGTGCTTTACATACAATATTTCTATCTTATTAGAGCCATATTGAGTTTGAAACAATTAGACAATACAACATCATGCTCAAAAATACAGACTTTAGAGTCAAGGCCTTTACAGTTAGAAGTCCTAACTACTATTTCAACTTTGGATAAATCAAAGACCTCTCAGAACCTGTTTCTTTCACTAAAGATGAAATTGACAATTGTTTATGTTTTCAAGGTGTGGCATATGTAAAAGAGAAAGTGTATTCACTTAGTGTTCTGTATGGTGCTCAGAAGGTTTTTGACTCCATGAACTCGTATTCACATATTATAACTGAGTAAAATGAAGCTTAGACAGGTTCAACAATTTGTTCCATGCCTATCTGGTTCCAAAGACCATGGTTTTTCCAACATATCCTGTTGCCATTCAGATAAAGAATATACTTTGAAACCTATCAGGATTGATAAAAATAGATACAGCAATCCCACTACTGGGTATCCTCTCAAAGGAAAAGAAATCATTATATGAAAAAGATAGACGCACAACCATGTTTATAGCAACACAATTCACAATTGGAAAAAATATGGAACCAACCTCAGTGCCCATCAATCAACAAGTGGATAAAGAAAATATGATATATATACACCATGGAATGCTACTCAGCCATAAAAATGAATGAAATAATGTCTTTTGCTACAACTTGGATGAAGCTGGAGGCCATTATTCTAAGTGAAGTAATTTAGGAATGGAAAACAAAATATCCTATGTCCTCACTTATAAGTGGGAGCTAAGCTATGAGGATACAAAGGCATGAGAATGATATAATGGCCTTTTGGGACTTGGGGGAAAGGATGGAAGGGGGTGAGGGATAGAAGACTACATATTGGGTACTGTGTATACTTCTCAGGGGACAGGTGCACCAAAATCTCAGAAACCACCACTAAAAAACTTATTCATGTAACCCCAAACCACCTGTACTCCCAAAACTATTGAAATAATAAAAATTATATATATATAAAATTTTGTGTGTATGTGTGTGTGTGTATCAGAGTTGCAACTCATGTAAAGAGGGAGACCCAAGTGTGCCTAGTCCAGACACACCCCTTCCTTCCCTTTGTGCACTGAGAAGGACCACTCAATACACGAACCTTAGACATAGATATCAGCAAAGTAAGTGGTGTTTTTTTGTCCTGATTTTAGAAGGACCCCAGGGCACCTTCTGTCAGAATCTCCCCAAAGGCTCTGCCAAAATGCCCAAAATATTATTTTGATTTTTGAATCCCTTTTGTGCTTAGCCACAATGCACACATCCCTTCAGTATAATATATAAAACTGTTAGTTGTTATCTACACCCCTGATTTAAATTAAATTCTAACTAGGAATTGCCTGAGAAGGAATTAATACTGGAACAAAGAAATTTTGAAAAGATGAAGGGACAGTGTGAAACTTGCAATATTGAGGTAGGGCAAGATATCACAGGAGAGGGTGTGCCTCTGTTCTCCAGTTCCTCTTCTCTTCCTTAACTCTTTCTATTTATGCAATAATCATTTATTTAGCATCTACTCTGGGCCGTAAAATGTATTCAAACACTTAATACAATCCTAGATAAGCAGAAAGAGCTCAGAGAGGCTTTTTTTTAAGTGTTATATACCAAGCAAAACAGGTGAGAAGAAATGAAGGTGTCTTAATTTGCATTAAGTCCAAAAAAATTAAGTCTACAAACTTGCTAAATACCTGCTCTGTATAAGACACTGAGAGCAGAGCAATCATAGAGCTCTGGGAGCAGAGACAATGGGGTTGTGATGGCTGCAAACTTACAGGCTGTATCTCTAGTCAATGAGAAGTCGCCAGGCACAGGGAGAGAAAAAAAATCATTCTTGACCTACATTTTCAAATTCTTAAGGATAGCAGAGTCAACAAAGAAAGGTATCAAAAACAAGCAACAAACAGAAAATCAGAAAACATTTAACTCTAAATTCTGGGTTAGTTCCATTAGAAACAACATCCTTTCATTGCAGTTTTCTTATCTATTCTTCAAATACATGCTTTGCCTCCTTAAAAATCTAAAGTGAATTGCTCCAAATGACATTACCATAACCTCCAGTGGAAGCACTTTCAGTCAACCACTAAGCCTATCCTTAGTCAATGGTATTTTTTTTTTTCCAAATATATTATTCTAGAGACTCTGGGGCTCTGAGAAAGCCAAGAAGGATTTATCACTAACCAAGATGGCTTCTGAAAGCTCTACCCGAACCACCAGAACGGGCCCATAGAAATCTGGCTGCAAGGAAAAGATATATAATCTTTGGTTTAGTTAACCCTCACAGGAAGAAAAGACGGTATGTCTTTCCAGGCCCAGAACCATGAGAAGGCAGAAGAAGGGAAAGCAGAAGTATCTAGCCACTAGCATCTTTTTTTTTTTTCTTTCCATTCACTTGTGTATCCTGGGTGAATACCAACATTTTCTTCCTTCCATCATGTGTCAAGACCTTGTATACAGGATGGGATGGGACTAGCTAAGGCAGCCCATCTAACAGCTTTACTATGAAAGTCAGAGAATCACAGGGCACATTTAGGAGGATGTTAAAAATGTGGTTTCAACTGGGCATGAAGATAAAATTGATATAGAACTCCAACGTAAGGCACCAGATAAAATATGAAGATTTGATAGAGGAAGTATCAAAGAACACCCTCGCTAGTTTCAAGATATAAGGGTCAAGGGAATGGAGGAAAGGGGACCTGTGAAAATATATATATACCTGTGTGTGTGTGTGTGTGTGTGTGTGTGTGTGTGTGTGTGTGTGTGTGGCTGCTACCTTCTAACCTCAAGCCCAGTGAGAACAGGCTTCAGTGAATCCAATCTGATATCTTGAAATGTGTTCTCTATCCACAAAGTCACCATAGACTTCCCACCAGGAATGCAGAAGGTACTAGAGGCAGGATAGGGCCCCTGCTTCAGAGAGAGACTAGACTCCCAAAGTTTGTCAGGTAAAAGATGGATGATCATTTTTCACAAAACACAGATGTGCCAAGGGGGAGAGAGCACTGTCCTGGAGACATCTGAAATCCTCCCCAAGGGGACTACTGGGAGACAAGAAGTTTCCCCATGGAGTAGAATAATGGGGAAAACAGCCTGTTCACAAACAGAATGCTTCACTGGCTTTTGCCATAGGTGCTGTAGATGTTTTGCAGTTTCAGGACCGGAAATCTCCAAAGAACCCAGAAAATGCTTCACGAGGGAGGAAGTCAGCTTAAATATTTATCAGTCCCAGCGGCACAAAGTCACAAAGCCAAGAAAGAACTGCCTCATCCTCCATTACTACTATCCTGGTAGGGTCTAGGACTATGGAAAGCAGCTCGCACATCAGAAGATGATGAGGGCCCAGACAACCAAAGGCAGAGAGCCACCAAGTCAAGGCTGTATCTGAGGAAAAGAAATAAATACTTAACTTTGAATGAGGTTTGAAACATTGGTAAGTGTTTTAGATGAAATGTTTAAAATGTTGGAACTGAGACTGCGTTTTGTCTCTTAATGAGCCACCAGAATTTTTACTAACTTTCAGTGGAAAGAAAATACCCTAGGAACTGTCCACATTTTTGTGTGGGAGGAAGAAGAAAAGATTCCCTCCAGATCATAACCTCTGCCAAAAAACAAACAAACAAACAAACAAACAAACACCTCAAAGCTTAAAGGATCAGTGATGACAAAAATAAAGCTGCATTTTACTTGTGTTATGAGTTGTGATTCCTTAACATATTAATTATACATTAATCGTACATTTATTGAGTGCCAAGCAATGACATGGTCAAATAAATGCGATGATGACTAAGTCCTATAACAGGAATTTTGCCTGCAAAGAGTTCACAATGGGGGCTGCCCTGGCATAATCTGTTTTTCAAAGCAGATTCATATCAAGAAAATATATGCTGTGGGGTAGTTCACACCTGGCTTTGAATTCCAGCTGCTCCACACACTAACTAGAGACCAATGCCTAAGTACTTAGCATCTCAGTTTTCACCTGTAAAAGGAGATAATATAAACGACCTTATAAGAATGTCAGGAGGATTTTTAAAATGCATCTAAATCACATAGTATCCTTCTTGACCCATAAGATCTCAAAAAGTAGTGGTAGAACATCAGCAACAAGATGTTGATATGGCTAGTACCCTGACAAATGAATATTGCCATTAAATATCCCCATTATCAAAGTGATAATGAAAGACTATTTAACAGAAAGAACCAATGATCCCTAAATTACTTATGTCTCATACGCATCTTTCTTATTCTTTAAAAAAATTATCCGTCAACTCACTGCAGTATTTTTTATTTCTTGAACTTTTACTGTGTAAATAATAAGTACCATATAATATAGTATTTAATTACCTCATTTCTTATGCTTTAATTACCTTATTGCACAAAGGCTTATTTCCCAAATTATACTGTGATGGCTCATCAAAGACAGGACAGGCAATAACATTTTGGAATATTTACTAGAATGTTTTAGACTGTCACCAAATATAGACAGAATTGAACAGAAATGACTTAAATTTTAAAATTCATCATTGTGTAAAAATAGACTATTCTTGTGCTCTCTAAACACAAACATTAACATGGCAGTCTCTATGATGTTGTCTTCAACTGGAAAGCACTCTCATGATTAAAGCAGAAATACTTCTGGATACATGAAAATTATCCCCTAACTGATAAAGAACTTCCTTTGGCCTTGAAATGGGTCCCACACATTACAAAGACAGGCAGGTAGAGAACAAACTTCCTCAGACAATTCTTCAAGTTGAGTTTCAACATGGAATCTCATTGAGTCTGCCAATGGCATTTTGAAAAGAATTTCATTAAACGTTGCTAACATGTCATAAGCTCCCTTAAATGGAAGGGTAATGGCTCATAACATTTGTAAGCTTTTTAATTTCATGGAATATGAGCAGCATAATCAGGACCTATTAAAGTCAATCAACTGTGCCAACTGGGGCTACCTACCTTTGCTTTGTTTCTATTTTGCTTGTGGGTATACCCCATGAACCAAGAAGCAGAGAGCCCCGGTATCATTCTTTAAGGCTAACATTGGTGTGTGATATTCTGAAAAAAAATCTCTGACAAAACCATCACAGCTGCATTTGCATGTGTGGGTTGAACAAGAACCTCTTGGGAAATGGCTTTTGGCTTCTGGAAAAAAGAGATTTTTATTTTAATTGGCTTCAGCTCAGAAGGTACAATTTTGGCAGGATTCAAAATGAGTCAACTGAGCATTGCAACTGGAATTAATAAATGGAGATGAATATAAGGAATCTTATTTATATTTTTAACAACATAGGAGTAACCAAACTACCAATCCATTGATACTTTTCTCAGGGCTTTCTTCTATCACGAAGCCTCTAGTAATAATAGTGGTCATTTATAGTGAGTTAAGTGGCGGACACTGTTGTAGGCACCCTGTATATGTTTAATTTTCAAAACAACTCTATGATACTATTAGTTACCCATATTACGGATAGAGAGACTGAAGTACTAAGATGTCAGGTAATATGCCTCCAGTTACAAAGCTAGTAAGAAGCTAGTAAGAAGCAAAACCAAGCTTCACACACAGTTTTGTCTGACTTTAAATTACATGTACTTTGCTACTATGCTATATTGCCCTCACAAGCACCTTGATGCAAGTCTTCCCATGGGAAGGAAGATATCCACGGAAAGCATTTCCATATGGGAACTAGGGAGGACCTTCCTGCATGGCTGAAGGCTATGGAGTTAAACAGACAGAACTCATACCACAATCAAGAGATGAAGTATCCATCAAAGTTAGAGAAGCAGAATAGAGTATAAAGAATCAGGATATGGCAAGGCCATGAACAAAAGGATGATTTGGAAGGGAGAAAGGCTGAGGGTAGATTAGGAAATGGCAAAAAATCTTGGCTAGGGCAAGCCGTAGAGGCCTAAGACTGTGAACACATGGAAAGTCTAGGTTTCCACTTTTGTACATTGCTGACTGCATAATGTGGGGGCGTGTCTGGCAGCTCCATGGAGCTGAGTAGGACCAGACAATTTCTTCATGTAAATCTTCATGCCAAAAAAAAAAAAGAATGATGTCCATACAGATGGTATCCAAATATACTGTCTGTATTTAATTAAAATTCATACAAATAACCTGGAAAACTCTTAGTTATTCCCTAGGCTGCCACTAATGAATACTGACCGAAAAAACCACGCAAATTTATAGTGTTACATTGATTGACATGAACACCTACTGCAACATTTGAAGGAGATAAAAGAAAAGTCTTCAACCTAAAAGAGGAAAAAAAAACTTTGTCCAAGAATATTTATTGTCTACGTGGGGACAGTGGGCTTTTAAGTATACTCTGAGTACATCAGTTCAATAAGAAATGAAGGAACAGTTCAAGGAATGAGAATCATTATGGGTTCTTGCACTTATTATTTATAAGAAGAATTTTATAAGGCAAATTGAATATAGAATGAAGACAATCCTTTCTCCGATGGAGGTCCCACAGGTAATTAAGCCCTAAGGCATCCTTATATATAATAAATTAACATCTCTGTTAGGCATCTAGAGTGGCACAGGTATTTGGACAATTGGAAAACCTAAGAAAAGAGTCACTCTTATTTTCTATGTTCTGTAGTTAGATAAGGAATCAGAGATAAGAAAGTCCATGTCTTTGGAAATTTAGAATTTGTGTAAGTTTTTATAATCTTCCATTTATTTCATTTTGCTGAACTCTGAGAAACCAGTAGAACACTTACACATTAAAAAATTTGTAGTACAAAAATGTATAGTCTGGGGTTCTGGATGAAAACATATCTATAGAGCATATTATCCTTAGAATATCATGGCATTTTTTCCTGAGTCAGGGACTAAATTCACACATGGGTCCTTGATTATTTCCAAGTAGATACTGTAATGCAATTCTAACAAAAGGTACGGACAGAGAGAAGTAACAGGATAGTAGGAGATGGTACAATTTAGGAGATCTGCAGTTTGAGTGGAGAAAAAATGGACTCCATAGGAAACTGTGACTACGTGAAGAGAAACTACAGTACAGAAGCCATCAGAGGGGGTGTGAGGAATGACCAGAGAAACCACAATGGGTAGAGAAAGGAAATAACATGGTCTCCTCTTCATGAAACTGGCAAGCGTCCTGCATGGCTACCGAGAAAGCCAGCTGGGTAAGCAGCACAGATCAACCTGTAACTACTGTTTACTTCTCCAAGATAAGATGGCATTTCAGTTAAGGACAGGGTGTGAGAATCAACCTGGGTTGGAGTATTAGATGTATGTTCTTTCTGTGCCTTTCTAAGCCTTTGACTGTTCATCTCTAAATAGAAGATCAAAGTGATAGAGCCTTCATAAGGTCACTATAAGAAATAAACAAGATAGGCAGACTTGGTGGCTCACGCCTATAATCCTTTGACTGTTCATCTCTAAATAGAAGATCAAAGTGATAGAGCCTTTATAAGGTCACTATAAGAAATAAGCAAGATAGGCAGACTTGGTGGCTCACGCCTATAATCCCAGCACTTTGGGAGGCCGAGGTGGGCAGATCATGAGGTCAGGAGATGGAGACCATCCTGGCTAACGTGGTAAAACCCTGTCTCAACTAAAAAAATAAAAAAATTAGCCGGACATGGTGGTGGGTGCCTGTGGTTCTAGCTACTCGGGAGGCTGAGGCAGGAGAATGGCATGAACCTAGGAGGCAGAGCTTGCAGTGAGCCAAGATCATGCCACTGCACTCCAGCCTGGGTGACACAGCAAAACTCCATCTCAAATAAATAAATAAATAAAATAAACAAGATAATTTTACATTAGCACTGTATCTGTTAGCTATTACAATGTAAGACTCTAATCACATGGTATTTGGATTCAAATTCAGCAAACATTTATGAGCAATCACAATAGGTTGGGCCCTCTGCAAAGTACTTTCACATCTAGTAGTTCATTCAATCTCTGCAACAGCAGATATTTTAATATGTATTAAAGTTACAGATATTCAATATTAGAACAGCAAAACCCTGCAGACACTTAGGAACACCTTAAAACTTCCCAAGCATTCCTCATTTCCTGATAGCAATTTGCTAGTATCTCAAGAACAGAACAGTTTTAGTGTCCATACCTTTTTTTATTTTTATTTTTTGAGACAAAGTTTTGCTCTTATCACTCAGGCTGGAGTGCAATGGCTCAGTCTCGGCTCCCTGCAACCTCTGCCTCCTGGGTTCAAGCGATTCTCCTGCCTCAGCCTCCCGAGTAGCTGGGATTACAGGCGCTTGTCACCATGTCCGGCTAATTTTTTGTATTTTTAGTAGAGATGGGGTTTCACCATGTTGGCCAGGCTGGTCTCGAACTCTTAACCTCAGGTGATCTGCCCACCTCAGCCTCCCAAAGTGCTGGGATTACAGGCATGAGCCACCGTGCCTAGCCCATGTCCATACATTTACGTAGAGTCTTTTTTTTTCCCATTACTTAGTTTAGCCTCAGTGGTTCTCCTGGACATTAGATTTATGCATAAGGCTATGCATATAAGACTATGGCTACTATATTTTGTGGGCGATTTAAGGTTTTTTCAAGGGAAATTTTAAGAATTGACTTTTTGCCATATGGGCCAATTTTAAAAACTGTCATGTGCAGCTTTACCATATAATCAATGTTGCTGGATCGAACAGGACCACCGACCCTGTGATGTGTTGTGTGGAGAGAACCCTGACAAAAAGACTTTCCAGTGTCT
Organism: Homo sapiens; assembly: GCF_000001405.40. Classification (NCBI taxonomy): domain Eukaryota; kingdom Metazoa; phylum Chordata; class Mammalia; order Primates; family Hominidae; genus Homo; species Homo sapiens. The sequence goes on along the minus strand of NC_000005.10, from coordinate 156,531,522 downwards.
TTACCCACAGAAAGAAGGCAATTTTCCTTTACCTTCCACCATTGCATTGGGGTTAGTCATCTTCTTATACTTTGTGTAACATCTATCATAATGCTGTCAAATCCTGTTTTCATTATACTTCCTGTACATTTCTGTTTTAGTCCATCTGTTTCTTGTTATAACAACAACCAAAAGAACCCCAGCCTGGGTAATTTACAGACAATAGAAATTAACTTTCTTATAGTCCTGGAGGCTACAAAGTCTAAGATCATGGTTCCAGCAGGTTCAGTTGTCTGGTGAGGGCTGCTCTTTGCTACCAAGATGTTGCCTTGTTGCTGCATCCTCCAAGGGAGGAATACTATGTCCTCACATGGCAGAAGAGGAGACAGGAGAGGCTAAAAATGCCAAACACTGCACGAAACCTCTGTCATAAGGGCATTAATCCCATTCATGAGGGAGGAGTCCTCATGACCTCATCAATTCCTAAAGGCCCCGCCTCTTAATACTATCACATAGGTCATTAAGTTTTAACACATGAGTTTTGGAGGGGACACATTTAAACCACAACACTCCCTAACCCGAGTTTTGCTAAGATATGATGAGGAAGAAAGAAACTCTTTGTTATTTAGTAGGCTCTTTGTAGCAGCAATAGAAATAAAGCATGGCGGCCAGACACGGTGGCTCACGCCTGTAATCCCAGCACTTTGGGAGGCCGAGATGGGTGGATCACGAGGTCAGGAGTTCGAGACCAGTCTGGCCAACATGGGGAAACCCATCTCTACTAGAAAACACAAAAATTAGCTGGGCACGGTGGTGCATGCCTGTAATCCTAGTTACTCAAGAGGCTGAGGCAGAAGAGTTGCTTGAACCAGGGAGGTGGAGGTTGCAGTGAGCCGAGATTGCACCACTGCATTCCAGCCTGGGCAACAGAGCAACACTCCATCTGAGGAAAAAAAAAGAAAAAGAAAAAAAAAAGGAAAAGAAAAGAAAAGAAATAAAGCATGGCGGTGAACTTCACATTTCAGAAAATTCACATGGCAAGACAATACAAAAAACTATTGAGAATGCTAAGAAATAAGTGAAAGACTTTGGCTTGTTAGCAACTGAAGTCAGCCATAAATACGGGAACTATACAGTCATTCAATAATATAAATACCTATGCATTAATGATTTAAAAATAAACTCAACTTCATTTCACATCTCTTAATGAGCTACCACCTAAGGATAATTAATCTTTCCATAAATATTCCTCTCTTATTTTTAAACATAACTGCTGAGCTTTAACTGAGGGCTAAAACCTATCTACACAGCTTGGTGGTGGAAAACTTCAATTATTGTAACATCTGTACTTGTCTTTTACTGGAGAGTGTTGCTATTTTTTATTTTCAGGACTCTGATGTTGCAAAATGGAAGCTGTGGCTTACGAGGTTGAGAAATCCACCTTATTTATTGCACCAAGCAAGGAAGAAAACATGGCAGTCTGCTTAACTCATTCTTTCAACATGGTGGTTTGTGTCACTCTCTCTCTTCTTCCTTCTCCCCCTCCAATATGCAACAAGTGCATCTGTGAAATATTTATCAATCTTAAAAGCCTCATTTACTTTGCAGACCATTTGGTATTTGCCTAGAGGAAGAATCATTGCTAATAAAAACAATCATTCATGGAAATGCAAAGTCCCACAGTCATAATTTAGGCCACTGCCATTTAAAACATCATGGTTAATAATTTATAGAGTGCTGCATCAAAAGGTTACACTTAGCTGCTGATAGAGATCACAAAATCAAAGTAACAGTATATGATTATAATTTCATATGGCAAAAAAGTTTTTTCAGCTTCTGAAACTGTGTCTCCTGAAAAATTATCAGTGTTTTTGACAAGGAACAAGTTTTTTAAAATTAAGACTAACGGCGTAACATATCCATAGCAATGACAGAGCACTGGGTACAGCCAGAGTTGCCAGAAGATGAATCTGTTTTGATGGAAGCATTAAGAAAAAAAGCATTTTTTTTTTACAGCAACATTTTTTTTTTTGCCAACAACATAGGAGTGAAGAAAAACAAAGATTTTAAGACCACATGACCATATTAAAACATGTGCCTTTTTTTTTTTTTTTTTTTTTGAGACAGAGTCACACCCTGTTGTCAGGCTGGAGTGCAATGGCCCAATCTCAGCTCACTGCAACCTCTGCCTCCCAGGTTCATGCAATTCTCCTGCCTCAGCCTCCCGAGTAGCTGGGACTACCGGCACACACCACCACGCCCAGCTAATTTTTGTATTTTTAGTAGAGACGGGGTTTGACCATGTTGGCCAGGATGGTCTTGATCTCTTGACCTCGTTATCCACCCTCCTCAGCCTTCCAAAGTGCTGGGATTACAGACGTGAGCTGGCGCACCGGCCCATGTGCCTTTCTTAAGGCTACCTTCCCTCTATTATTCTCCTCAAATGTACTCAGCAGTTACTACGGTCTGTGGGAATGCCTCCTAACCTAGGTAGGAATCTTCTTACTACTAAAGGAACAAACCAAGCTGCAGTGGACTCTGGTATGCATTTCTTTCTCATAAATGCAATTTATGAAATAAGCAAGAAGCAGTCTCAGCAGCAACTAGTCATTCTAGACAGCTGGGATGTTCTTGAAATCAAAAGTATTAGATGATGTTGAAATGCCATAGTGATGATGATGAGAAACCCAAAGCTTTGAAGGACTGGAAATGCTAATTTTGTTCTATTAAAATGTCCTATCTATAACACACAGCTCAACACTTAGGAGCTCTCAGAAGCTTATGAATGGCATGAATCAAGGCATATAGGAGGTCAAAGCTGCAGAGTACGTAAAGATGAAACTTATTACCTTTAGCCCTCTCTTAGCTCTTCCACCTAAAGTCTATTCTTACTCCCTCATGGCCTCACACCACATAGCTGCTCGTGCCACTGTCTACATAGTTGAATACTTAGTATGTAGCTAATACAGATAATTAATAAATGTATAAGATCCTTTTGAAGAGATGTTTGTCTCTCCAAAAGCTTCTTAGAGAATCTTTGAGTCAGAAAGATCCTAAGAGAACATCCATTCATTCAAACAATTTGTTTTCCTATCATGTGACAGGAACTAGTCTAGAAACTAAGGAGACGGTGGCAAAAAAAGATAATAGTATTAATAAATGCTAATAATATATAGTATTATTTTCAAATATTATACAGTGTTCTACATCCAATGCACTATTCCATAAGCTTTACATAAATTAACTCTTATAATCCCATAATAATCTTATGAGATAGTGCTATTATTATGCCCATTTTTCAGAGGAGTAAAGTGAGGCACAGAAAAGGTCAAGTAACTTGCTTAAAGTTACAAGGCTAGTAAATGGTGGAGCAAAGATTCAAATTCAGGAAGTTGGTATTCCAGATCCTGCTCCCAAATACCATGTAGTACTGCCTTTCTCCATCTCTGCTGTCATGGAGTTTATAAAGTAATAGTGGAAACAAACAAACAGGTAAATGTAAAAATATATAATTATATGATACATATGTAATCTGATATGATATGATATAACAAGATAAATCTACTGGGTCAGAGATATATTTTAGATAAGGCAGTCAGGGAAGGTCTTCACGAGAAAATGGCATTGGAACAGAGACCTGGAAAAAATGAGGCTATTTTTTGATCCAGTCTGGTCATTTTCAAACTGTGGTCTGTGGAATCCCAGCAAGGGCCTCGGCCCCCTGTGGCTGGTGACAGGAAGATTGGTTGGGTAGGACAACAGGTGCAGGACCATCTCCTGGTCAACCACAGCAGCTCAGCTTCCAGCTGGTTTGGATTTGGGGGTTCAAAGTAAAATTAGGCTTAAAAATATTTCATGACTTAAAAAAAAGCTACAGAAAACCATTGATTATATCCAGATCCAGCTTCTTTCACAGATAGATGGTTCACAGATAAAGAAACTGAGACATGAAGAGAAGTAACTTGCTCAAGGGCTCACTTGGACAGTGAGAAGAGAAGCCAGATTCCCTGACTTTGAATCTAGTGTACTTTCTCTAACACTAGGCTGCTAGTTTTAACTCCCCACATCATCCAGGACATTTTAACCAAATCTCTAGAAAGTACAGATAGAAGGTTACATCCAACACACTGTCTCTCTCTTTCAAAAATTCATAGCCAAACTCCAGGTTTAGTAAGAGCAAACTCCTGGGATGCTATGGACTCCCCTTATATTCTATAGCTTGCCCTCATCTTTGCCTCCAATTATAGTTTATGTTTTTTTTCTGATCTTAACCCATTATATCTTTTGTGACTATGTTACTGTATGTACTTCTTATAAGTTATTTCCAAACCTTTGTGGAAATGTGTTTGTACATCAGTGAAAGGAGTGTTTATAGTATGAGTCTGGCTGAATAAAAATTACTGAGAGATCCAGAAGCCTTCAAATAAAAGAGATTCTAATGATGGACCCTTCTGTACCATGATAGGCAATGAGGAAGAATTTGAGGAATCTTACCTGCCCAGTGGCCCTCAACTCATACAATTAGACATTCTCAGGCTCCTTTGAAGTTTGAACACACTTCTCCTACCAGAACTCTGGCTGACATTGTTATAACTGAGATCGACCAAAGCCCTCAGTAACTCTTACATTTCTAGTATAAGCTTCATTTAAGAAAAGCACGCACAGTCAATTTATCCCCATCAGCCATGTTAATTGTATGGCAGCCAAAAGCCTTTGAATACGTATCTCTGTTTTCCCGAATAAACTGACAATAGTATTACGTGTTGAACTATTCAAAGTTTATGTGTCTGTTTAAAAAAAATGTAAGCAGCTGGTTCACATTATCGTCCACAATAAGTTATAAGAGGAAAACAGATACATTTGGGGAATGGCAATTGGCTTCATAGTACAGATGGGCTTATAGATGACCCTTCCAATTTTTAATAATATCCATAATTTATGTGTGAGCAAAGAAACGCAAAGAGGCCTAATGCACCCTTCTGACTTAGTACAAATCACTTTTATTTACTCAGGCAATACTTCATGGTCCAGTTAACTTCTTAATTTAAGACAGCAAGATGCTCGTGTTCCATGCAAGTGGCATGGAAAATACTGTTTTGTGTGCAGTGTGTTCACTTGGGAGTTGGAGCTGCTTTGCTTACTGAGGAGAAGCCATCATAGCCTTCATTTTGTTTCTAAACTAACCAGAGACATGACTTTGCTCCTTGCAACTAATTTATCAATGGAACCTATTCAGACTGTGTGCGTGTCTGCCATCCCATGATAGTTCTCACTTTTTTTTTCCCTCATAAACAGCACTCAGAATCCAAATCTTAACACTTTCTCATCTTTATCTCCCTCCTTCCCCAGCTTAAGTTCTTTAGTGCTTAGACGAACAAAAAGGAAGCACATTTTAGAAGACTCAGAGTAGAGAATGGCTGTAAAGGGCCATACTTCAGACTCCAGAAATTCTAAGACAACTACTGCCTGCCATTGAACTTGCATACAATTTCAAAACCAAGAAGAACAAAACTGGAGGTATCATATGTCCTGATTACAAATTATATTAAAAAGTTATTGAAATCAAAGCAGTATGGTACTAACAAAAACAAACAAAAAACAGACACATAGATAAATGGAACAGAATAGAAAGCTGAGCAATAAACCCACAGATATGGTTAAGTAATTTTCAACAAAATTACCAAAATATGTGATGGGTAAAAAAATAGTCTCTTCAATAAATGGTGCTGAGAAAACAGGATAGCCACATGCACAAAAATGAAATTGAATCCTTATTTTATACTGTACACAAAAATCAACTCAAAAATGGGTTAAAGGCTTAAGCATAAGACCAGAAACAGTAAAACTACTAGAGGAAAACATAGGGGCAAAGCTCTATGACATTGGTCTTTGAAATGACTTTTTTCTTATATGAGCCAAAAGCATAGGAATCAAAAGCAAAATTAAGCAAACAAGTAGGACTACATGAAACTAAAACTTTTCCATACAATAAAAAAAAAAATCAACAAAATGAAAAGGAAATCTATGGAATGTGAGAACATATTTGAAAACTACCTTCCTGATAATGGATTAATAATAAAACTATATAAAGAACTCATGCAACTCAAGAGCATAAAACTAAATAACCCAAATTTAAAACTTGGCAAAGAACCTGAATAAACCTTTTTCCAAAGAAGACATACAACTGACCAACAGGTATATGAAAAGGTGTTCAGCACCACTAATCATCAGGGAAATGCAAATCAAAACCACAATTAGTTATGACCTCACCCTTTTTAGAATGGCTGTTATCAAAAAGAAGAAAGATAACAAATGTTGGCAAGGATGTAGAGAAAAGAGGACCTTTTTGTATTGTTGGTTGAAATGTAAATTGGTACAGCCATTATGGAAAACTGCATGGAGCGTCCTCAAAAAAAGTAAAATAGAACTACCATAGGATACAGCCATCCCACTTCTGGGTACATATCCAACAGAAAGAAAATCATTATCTTAAAGAGATATCTGCATGCCCATATTCACTGTAGCATTATTCACAATAGCCAAGATATGAATTAAATCTAAACTGACAGATGAATGAGCAAAGAAAATATGGTATATATACACAATGGAATACTATTTAGCCTTAAAAGAAGAAATCTTGTCATTTTTAACAACGTGGATGAACCTGGAGAACATTAAGCTAAATCACCAAGTCACAGAAAGGCAAATACTGCATAGTCTCACTTTTATGTAGAATTTTAAAAAGTCAAACTCAGAAACATTGAGTAGAAGGGTTGTTAGTGAGGGTGGGAGTGGGGTAGGTGAAACAAGATGTTCATCAAAGAGTACACACTTTCATTTATAACGTGAATAAGTTCTGGAGACCTAATATACAACATGGTGACTATAGGTAATAAGCATGTATTATATACCTGAAATTTGTTAAGAAAGTAGACCTTAGGTATTCTCACCACATGCATAAAATAAGGCAATTATGTGAGGTGGTGAATACGTTATTGGTTTTATTATGTTAGTCATTTCATGATGTATATTAAAACATCATTAAGTTTGTACACCTTAAATATATATACAATTTTTACCTGTCAATTATACCTCAATAAAGTGGTAGGGGAACCCCCAAGCTAGACCACTAGGAGAAACTGGGTCACAAGAGAGAGAAACAAGAAGTAAGGAATGGTAAAGAGGAGTGAATATTAATCCTATGAAATCATCCTAGTTTCTTAACTCCTGCATGATGATATATATATATATATATAACTATATATATTACTATATATAAACTATAGTTTTATATATAACTATATATATTACTCTCTCTTTATATATATAAAGACCTATATATATATATATATATATATAGTAAGACCTATATAAAACTGTAGTTTTATGTAAAACCATATATATATATATATATATATATATATATATATATATATATATATATATATAGTAAGACCTCACTTATCATCATCCATAGGTTCTTGGAAACTGCCACTTTAAGTGAAATAACATGTAACAAAAGCATTTTTTTTTTCACCAATGTTATAACAAAATGACTCTGGACAAAACAATGTTTCTCAAGGACCTAATATATGGTGTTCTACTTAAAGTTGCAGTTTCTAAGAACCTACTGAGGACATTAAGTAAAAACGTATTGTACATTCATAACACCATAAACCAGGTACTGCACCTGCAAGGTACTTCAGAGGTCCTCAGTATAAATGAGTTAAGTAACTGGGTATGACACAATAGTGACTGGTGAGACTATGCCAAACTGAAGAAAAAATGTCTCATATAAAGTATGAAGTTTTCAAAATGTGAGACTGCCCCTGAACTCTACCGTGTAAGAATATCGAAACACTCTACCATATTTTTGTTCCTTCATAAGAATCAGAAAATGTAGATTTTTAAAAAAATGTGAGATTCTCAGATTGTTAAATATTAGAAGCACACATATTAAAAGAAAAATACTGTGTGAGGCAAATAGACTACATCTGTGACCTGGATTCAGTTTGTAACTTCTGTCATAAGCTGACTTAATACTTTCTAAGGCAGGTCACTAAAATCATTTCGCTTAACTCTTACGAGAAATACATTAAGTATACAATATCATCCCAGTGATTAGATCATCCATAATTAAGCTTCAGTTCCGTTGCATTATCCACTGTTGTTTCCAGTTTCCTTCTCATAGTGCTTATGAATCTTCTCATGAGTTCAACATGCATTTCAGTCAAAGTTATTCCTCATGAGAGGGAAATTGCCACGTGTAACCACTTGTCACACTAAACATATCATTAAAAAATTACCACTTAACAGTCAGTTTGGTCACAGGGAAGAATACTGCCATTCTGGATTTTAGTTCTAAATTTAGCTGGGTATAATTTGGTAAATCCTGCTTTCTTTCTGAGCCTTAGTGCCCCAATCAGTAAATGAAGTAATTGGTCTAATTAAATTATTAGGTGCTTTTAACATTCCTCCTAGATATGTCTTGGTAATTAGGATGATGGAATAAATCTCAATTGACATCATGCTAAAATCAAAATGGATTTTTACAAATCTCCCTCTTCATTAAATAAAGAAATGACAGAATCAAAAATAACAATTCATGCTGAGGATGACTGGCTTAGGGTTTCAAAAAGTGTACAGATATTTCTCAACTTTGATAAATATTGACAAACTTGGATACCCTCATGCCCCATTTTATATGTGGAATTTAGACTTTAATAAGAACCAACATTTACACAGGATTTTGTACAGCACTGATGTGTGTGTCGGGGGGTGGGGATGGGGTTGTCTTTTTTTTTTTTAAGTGCTGGGGTACATGTACAGAATGTACAGGTTTGTTAAGTAGGTAAATGTGTGCCATGGTGGTTGGCTGCACCTAACAACCCATCACCTAGGTTTAAAGCCCAGCATGCATTAACTGTTTTTCCTGATGCTCTCCTTCCCTCTGACTCCCCATCAATAGGCCCCGGTGTGTGTTGTTCCTCTCCCCGTGTCCATATGTTCTCATTGTTCAGCTCCCACTTGTAAGTAAGAACATGCGACGTTTGGTTTTCTTTGCTGTGTTAGTTTGCTGAGGATAATGGCTTCCAGCTCCATCTATGTCCTGAAAAGGGCATGATTTCATTCCTTTTTAAGGCTGCATAGTACTTCATGGTGTATATGTACCACATTTTCTTTTTTAGTATCTTTTTTATTATTATACTTTAAGTTCTAGGGTACATGTGCACAACGTGCAGGTTTGATACATAGGTATACATGTGCCATGTTGATTTGCTGCACCCATCAACTCATCACTGACTTTAGGTATTTCTCCTGATGCTATCCCTCCCTCAGCCCCCCACCCCCTGACAGGCCCTGGTGTGTGATGTTCCCTGCCCTGTGTCCAGGTGTTCTCATTGTTCAATTCCCACACAAGTGAGAACATGCGGTGTTTGGTTTTCTGTCCTTGTGATAGTTTGCTGAGAATGATGGTTTCCAGCTTCATCTATGTCCCTTCGAAGGACATGAACTCATCCTTTTTTATGGCTGCATAGTATTCCATAGCGTATATGTGCCACATTTTCTTTATCCAGTCTACCACTGATGGGCATTTGGGTTGATTCCATGTCTTTGCTATTGTAAATAGTGCTGCAGTGAACATACACATGTATGTATCTTTATAATGGAATGATCTATATTCCTTTGGGTATATACCCAGTAATGGGATTGCTGGGACAAATGGTATTTTTAGTTCCAGGTCTTTGAGGAATCACCACACTGTCTTTCACAATGGTTAAACTAATTTATATTCCCACCAACAGTGTAAAAGCATTCCTATTTCCCCACAGCCTCACTAGCATCTGTTGTTTCTTGACTTTCAGTAATAGCCATTTTGACTGCCGTGAGGTGGTATCTCATTGTGGATTTGATTTGGATTTCTCTAATGATCAGTGATACTGAGCTTTTTTTATACATTTGTTGGCGACATGCATCCTTCTTTTGAGAACTGTCTGTTCGTGTCCTTTGCCCACTTTATAATGTGTTTTATTTCTTGTAAATTTGTTTAAGTTTCTTGTAGACTCTGAATATTAGACCTTTCTCAGATGGATAGATTGCAAAAATTTTCTCCCATTCTGTAGGTTGTCTGTTTGCTCTGATGATAGTTTCTTTGGCTGTGCAGAAGCTCTTTAGTTTAATTAGGTCCCATTGGTCAATTTTTTGCTCTTGTTGCAATTGCTTTTGGCATTTTCATTACAAAATCTGTGCCCATGCCTACGTCCTGAATGGTATTACCTAGATTTTCTTCTAGAGTTTTTGTGGTTTGGGGTTTTACATTTAAGTCTTTAATCCACCTTAAGTTGATTTTTGTATATGGTGTAAGGAAGGGGTCCAATTTCAATTTTCTGCATATGGCTAGCCAGTTCTGTCAGCTCCCGTTTTATTAAATAGGGAATACTTTCCCCATTGCTTGTTTTTGTCAGGTTTGTTGAAGATCAGATGGTTGTAGATGTGTGGTCTTTTTTTTTTTTTTTTTTTTTTTTTGAGACGGAGTCTCGCTCTGTCACTCAGGCTGGTGTGCAGTGGCACAATCTCGACTCACTGCAATATCCACCTCCCAGGTTCATGCCATTCTCCTGCCTCAGCCTCCTGAATAGCTGGGACTACAGGCACCCACCAGCACACCCAGCTATTTTTTTGTATTTTTAGTAGAGATGGGGTTTCACTGTGTTAGCCAGGACCATCTCTATCTCCTGACCTCGTGATCCACCCTCCTTGTCCTCCCAAAGTGCTGGGATTACAGGCATGAGCCACCGCGCCTGGCTGTGTGGTCTTATTTCTAAGTTCTGTATTCTGTTCCATTGGTCTATGTGTCTGTTCTTGAACCAGTACAATGCTGTTTTGGTGAGTGTAGCCTTGTAGTATAGTTTGAAGTTGGGTCGCACGATGCCTCCAGCTTTGTTCTTTTTGCTTAGGATTGTCTTGGTAATTTGGGCTCTTTTTTGGTTCCATATGAATTTTAAAATAGTTTTCTCTACTTCTAAAATAGTTTTCTCTACTTCTGTGAGTAACATCAAAGGTAGTTTAATGGGAATAGCACTTGGTCTATAAATTACTTTGGGCAGTGTGGACCTTTTCACAATATTGATTCTTCCTATTCATAAGCATGGAATGTTTTTCCATTTGTTTGTGTCCTCTCTGATTTCTTCAAGCAGTAGTTTGTAACTCTCCTGAGGAGATCCTTCCATTTTCTTGTTAGCTGTATTCCTAGGTATTTTATTCTCTTTGTAGCAATTGTAAATGGGAGTTCATTCATGATTTGGCTCTCCACTTTTCTGTTGTTGGTGTATAGGAATGCTCGTGATTTTTGCACATTGATTTTGTATCTTGAGACTTTCCTGAAGTTGCTTATCAGCTTAAGAAGATTTTGAGCTGAGATGACAGGGTTTTCTAGATATAGGATCATATCATCTGCAAACAAAGATAGTTTGACTTCCTCTCTTCCTATTTGAATATGCTTTATTTCTTTCTCTTGGTGGACTGCCCTGGCCAGAACTTCCAATACTATGTTGAATAGGAGTGGTGAGAGAGGGCATCCTTGTCCTCTGCCAGTTTTCAAAAGGAAATTCTTCCAGCTTTTCCCATTCAATATAATATTGGCTGAAGATGTGTTATAGATGGCACCTGTTATTTTGAGGAATGTTTCTTCAATACCTCATTTATTGGGAGTTTTTTAACGGGAAGGAATGTTGAATTTTATTGAAGGCCTTTTCTGAGTCTATTGAGATAATCATGTGGTTTTTGTCTTTAGTTCTGCTTATGTAATTATATTTTTTGATTTGCATATGTTGAACCAGCCCTGCTTTCCAGAGATGAAACAGACTTGATTGTAGTGGATAAGCTTTTGGATGTGCTGCTGAATTCGTTTTGCCAGTATTTTACTGAGGATTTTTGCAGCAATATTCATCAGGAATATTGGCCTGAAGTTTTCTTTTTTTGTTGTATCTCTCCTAGGTTTTTGTATCAGAATTATGCTGGCTTCATAAAATGCGTTAGGGAAGAATCCCTCCTTTTCAATTGTTTGGAATAGTTTGAAAAGAAATGGTACCAGCTTCTCTTTGTACCTCTGGTAGAATTCTGCTGTAAATCTAGTCCTGGGCTTTTTCTTTTTTGTTGTTGTTATTTTTGTTTGTTTGTTTGTTTGTTTTTTTGTTGGTAGGCTTTTACTGCCTCAATTTCAGAACTCGTGAATGGTCTATTCAGGGAATCAACTTTTTCCTCATTCAGTCTGGGAAGGGTGTATGTGTCCAGGAATTTATCAATTTCTTTTAGATTTTCTGGTTTATATGCATAGAGGTGTTTATAGTATTCTCTGACGGCTGTTTCTATTTCTGTGGGATCAGTGATAATATCCCCTTTATCATTTTTTATTGTGTCTATCTGATTCTTCTCTTATTAGTCTAGCAAGCTATTTTATTAATTTTTTTTTCAAAAAACCAGCTCCTAGATTTGTTGATTTTTTGAATTTTTTTTGTGTCTCCAACTCCTTCAGTTCTGCCCTGATTTTGGTAACTTCTTGTCTGCTAGCTTAGGGGTTTGTTTGCTCTTGGTTCTCTAGTTCTTTTAGTTGTGATGTTAGGATGTTCATTTGAGATCTTTCTAGCTTTCTGATGCAGACACTTAGTGCTATAAATTTCCCTCTTAACACTGCTTTAACTGCATCCCAGAGATTCTGGTACATTGTCCCTTTGTTCTCATTAGTTTCAAAGAATTTGATTTCTGACTTAATTTCATTATTTATCCAGGAGTCACTTGGGAACAGGTTGCTCAATTTCCATGCAGTTGTGTGGTTTTTAAGTGAGTTTCCTAATCTTGAGTTCTAATGTAATTGAGCTATGGTCTGAGAGACTGTTATGATTTCAGTTATTTTGCATTTGCTGAGGAGTGTTTTACTTCCAATCACAATTGGAATTTTATCAATTTTAGGTCACTTTTACAGTAAGTGCCATATGGTGCCAAGAAGAATGTATATTCTGTTGTTTGTGGATGGAGAGTTATGGAGATATCTATCAGGCCCACTTGATCCAGAGCTGAGTTCAAGTCCTAAATATCTTTGTTAATTTTCTGTGTTGATGATCCGTCTAATATTGACAGTGGGTGTGAAAGTCTCACACTATTATTGTGTGGGAGTCTAAGTCTCTTTGTAGGTCTCTAAGAACTTGTTTTATGAATCTGGGTGCTCCTGTATTTGGGTGCATATATATTTAGGATAGTTAGCTTTTCTTGTTGAATTGAACCATTTACCATTATGTAATGCCCTTCATCTTTTTAAATTTTTGTTGGTTTAAAGCCCGTTTTGTCGGAAACTAGGATTGTGACTCCTGCTTTTTTCTGTTTTTCCATTTGCTTGGTAAATTTTCCTCCATTACTTTATTTTTAGCCTTTGTGTGTCTTTGCACGTGAGATGGGTCTCTTGAATACAGTACACTGATGGGTCTTGACTCTATCCAGCTTGCTATTCTGTGTCTTTTAATTGGGGCAATTAGCCCATTTACATTTAGAGTTAATATTGCTATGTGTGAATTTGATCCTGTCATCATGATGCTAACTGGTTATTTTGCAGACTTGTTGGTGTAGTTGCTTCATAATGCCATTGGTCTTTGTACTTCAATGTGTTTTTTTAGTGGCTGGTAACAGTTTTTCCCTTCCACAGTTAGTGCTTCCTTCAGGAGCACTTGCAAGGCAGGCCTAGTGGTAACAAATTCCCTCAGCATCTGCTTGTCTGAAAATGATTTTATTTCTCCTTCACTTAGGAAGTTTAGTTTGGCTAGATATAAAATTCAGGGTTGGAAATTTTTTTAAGTTGTTGAAAATTGGCCCACAATCTCTTCTAGCTTGTAGGGTTTCTGCTGAGGGGGGTCTGCTGTTAGTCTGATGGGCTTCTTTTGCTAGGTGGCCTGAACCTTTCTTTCAGGTTGCCCTAAACATTTTTTTTCTTCATTTTGACTTTGGAAAATCTGATGATTGTGTGTCTTGGGGTTGATCTTCTCATGGAATATCTTACTGGGGTTCTCTGGATTTCCTGAATTTGAATGTTGGCCTGTCTTTCTAGGTTGGGGAAGTTCTCCTGGATGATATTCTGAAGTACGTTTTCCAACTTGGTTCCATTCTCCCTGTCTCTTTCAGGTACCTCAATCATTCATACGTTCATTCTTTTTACATAATCCTATAGTTCATGGCAGCTTTGTTCATTCCATTTCATTCTTTTTTCTCTAATCTTGTGTACCTGTCTTATTTCAGTAAGATAGTCTTCAGGCTCTGAGATTCTTTCCTCCACTTAGTCTATTTCACTATTGATACTTGTGGCTGCATTGTGAAGTTCTTGTGTTGTTTTTCAGCTCCATCAGGTCAATTATGTTCCTCTCTAAACTGGTTATTCTGGTTAACAGCTTCTGTAATGTTTTATCATGGTTCTTAGCTTCCTTGCACTGGGTTAGAACATGCTTCTTTAGCTCAAAGAAGTCCGTTATTACCCACCTGTTTTGTTTTTTGTTTTGTTTTTTGAGATGTAGCCTCACTCTGTCACACAGGCTAGAGTACAGTGGTGTGAGCTCGGCTGACTGCAACCTCCACCTTCCGGGTTCAAGCAATTGTCCTGCCTCAGCCTCCCTGAGTAGCTGGGACTACTGACATGTGCCACCAAGCCTGGCTAATTTTTGTACTTTTAGTAGAGGCAGGGTTTCATCACGTTGGCCAGGATGGTCTCGAACTCCTGACCTCAGGTGATCCATGTGCCTCGGCCTCCTAAATTGCTGGGATTATAGGCCTGAGCCACCTCGTCCAGCCCATTATTACCCACCTTCTGAAGCCTACTTATGTCAGTCAGTTCATTCATCTCAGCCTCAGCCCAGTTCTATGTCCTTGCTAGAAAGGTGCTGCAATCATTTGGAGGAGATGAGGCACTCTGGCCTTTTGAGTTTTCAGCTTTTTACACTGATTCTTCCTCATCTTTGTGAGCTTATCTACCTTTGTTATTTGAGGCTGCTGACCTTTGGATAGGGTTTTGTGGGTATTTTTTTGTTGATGTTGTTGTTGCTTTCTGTTCACTTTTAACAGTCAGGCCCCTCTTCTGTACAGCTGCTGCAGTTTGCTGGGGGGCCACTCCTGGGTCTTTTCCTGCACCTGGAGGTGTCACCAGTGGAGTCTGCAGAACAGCAAGGACGGCTGTCTGCTCCTTCCTCTGGGAGCTCTGTCCCAGAAGGGTAGTGACTTGATGCTGGCTGGAATGCTCTTGCATAAAATATCTGGCAACCCCTATTGGGGGTGTGTGTGTGGGGGGTCTCACCTAGTCAGGAGGCATGGGATCAGCCACTTACTTAATGAAGCACTCTGGCTGCCCTTTGGCAGAGCGGGTGTTTTGTGCTCAGGGGAATCCCCCTTGTCTGGACTGCCTGGCCTCCTCAGAGCCAGCAGGCAGGAAAGACTAACTACTGAGCCTGGAGACCATAGCTGCTTCTCCCCCTGGGGGTCCATTCCAGGTGGATTAGAGTTCGGTCTGTAAACCTCTGGCTGCAGTTGCTGAAATTCCCACAGGGAGGCCCTGCCTGGTGAGGAGGGATGGAGCCCAGTCCCACCTAAAGAAGCAGTCTGGCCACAATCTGCTACAGCTGCTGTGTTGCACTGTGGGGACTTCTTTCCCATCCAAACCACCTAGTCTCCAGGGCACCAGCAGGGGAAAACGGCTGGGGCACAGTGATGGCAGCTCCCCTTCCCCTCTGGAAACTTGGTCATCTCAGGCAGTCTTCAGCATGCTGCTGCTGGCCACGACTCGAGCAGCTGCTGAGAGTCTGCACAGCTCTGTTCTTGGGTCCCAAGACCCTGGTGGCGTGGGCTCACAAGGGTATCTTCTGATCCATGGGTTGCACAGATATGTGGGTAAATCTTGGTTTCCTTGGCAGGGTAGCACAATCGCTCTCTGCTCCTTTGGCTGGGGGCGGGAACTCCCCATTGCCTGTGCTGCTCCCAGGTGGGCCATCACTCCACCCTGCTTATCCTCACTCTCTGTGGGTCACACCAACACCTCATCAGTCCCAGTGAGAGAACCTGGATACCTCAGCTGAAGGTGCAGGATTCACATGCGGTCTTCATTCTTCTCAGTGGGAGCAGCCATCCACAGCTGCTTCTAATCAACCATCTTGACCCCTCCATGTGTGTTTTAATCTTTAAATATTTTGTTTTGCTTTTGCTATGTTATAAAATGAGTGAAAACGTCATTACTGAATCAGAGTGTATAAACATTTTTAAAGTACTTGAAATATATCATGAAGCTATTTTTTTTCAGAAAGACTGTGCCAAGAATGCTAGACCCAGCAAAAATGTTTAAGAAGAATGAGAGAAAAGTCAAATTTTAGAAGAAGGTAACACAGCAAAGGAAAAATTTTAAACTAAAAGCTACTGAATATAAAACGGGTTTTCTTTGAGAGTAATAAGTCTGTCATTAAGAAGATATCCAAGCAGAGGTTGCAAGACCATTTGATTCAGAGGAAGTCCAAACATCGGATGAAATCTGGACTATATGATGATGTGAAAATCATCATCATTATCATCATTGTCAGAAGGAGATGAAGGTAGCGGCTACCATTTCTGGACCTCACTTTATGTCAAGTTCTGTATTAACAGTTAAAAAACATTATCTTACTTATTTACGACCACACATGATGTAGGTGTTAATATCTCAGTTGTGCAGGTAAGAAAACAAGCATTTGAAAGGTTAAACAATTGTTCAAAGATTACTCACTGAACAAATGGTAGCACTAGTTGCCACCCAAGTCCAACAAGGCAGCACATGCTCAAATCCATGTTGTCACACTGCCTCTTGGTATAAGCCACTTCTAAAATCCTCATTTATATATGACTTTATAATTCTATATGCTGGTTTTCATACATGAGACTATCTTACGATAGGCAGAGCCAAGATTTTTTACGGGATAAAATATTTTAAAAGACATAAATACTCTCAATATTTGCATAATTTTCCACTTTATTCTCCTAATGTAAGTTAATTTTTCTGATCCATTCAAGTTTTCTTTCTACCCTCTCCTCTTCCGAACTTCTAAATTCAATACAGCAATGGGCTAGGAGCCCTATACCCACCCTCAAATGGAGTTTGAGGTGAACATGAAGATAAATTCATGATACGGCTTTCCTATTGCTGTAGGTGTGGAACAATAATAGGTGCTTAATAAATGCTATTTTCCTTTCCTTTGCTAGTTCACATTAAGTTATGCAAAAGCATAATCTAATCCTAGCATCCTAAGATGTGAGGTAAAAAGCCTCTTTGAAGAAGTAGGGATGTACAACTTTGTCTAAGAATGAATGAATCCTAAGGAGACCTTTACTCACAAAGTAGTAATAAAGGTTTCCTTAGTACTCATTCATTCGTTCTATCTACTAGTAGTTCCTGCCAAAAACTTGCAGTTATACTTAGCAATTAAAAAGATATCCAATCACATTGAAATAGCATTCAAACATAGAGTTGTATAGCATTAAATCCCTTAACTTTACAACCTTTTGTGCTAATGCATTCAAGTGGTATTTCTAAGACATTCTGCCTTTGGATGTCATGGTTGAATGCTTAATTTAGCATGTATCCTTCTCAATCTCTTTTCTGGACAGCATGATACTTTACCACTTAGAAGCTGTACATCCATGTGGCTGAAAGCTAGAATGTCCTGGGGCTTTCATTCAACTCCCAGATGCAAATATTTATAAAGATGAACATTTCTCATTAATTTATCTTCCTAAGTGATTGTTATCACACTAATCAATTTGTAGTGACTTTACTAGGGTTGCAACCTTCAGTAATGAAATCAGATACAGTGCTGAACACTGTGTGAATTGCTTAACTAATGTCAGCTCCTCTCAGATCAGTGCAACACAAAACCACAAGGAAGTCAAGTGTTGCTTCATTAGTTGTCCTCACTTCGAGTAGTTGACTAATCTTGCTCAACTGGACACTGATCTCTTTTCAATAGGAAAAGCAGAAGGTGATACCCCATAAAATGGAAGCAGCTATGATCCACATAAAAATGACACTGCAGATAATCATGCAGATGAGAGGCCCCCAGAGGTAGTCTACAGACAACAGTCAGATACATCAGAAAACGACCAGTAAGCTGAAGATAACAAAGTGGTGAATGGAAAGGTGCTAAAAACTACATGTGAGGTTCATGAGCATCATGTGAGGTTATGACTCAGTAAAAATGGCAGATCCTATTGGTTGCCTGCCAACCACTCATCCCTCCCACCTTCCTTAATACCAGAACCCCAGTTTCTTTCAGCTGGCAATAACCTCTGTGCTTAAAGAGAGGCAAGCCCTGTGGACTAAATCATCATCTTAGAAATCTTTTTCTTTCACCTTTTCATGCCAATATACTTGATTTCAATTTTTGTGGACATATCAAAGAAAGACTAATTCTTCCTTTAATGCTATGCCTAATATGTTATTCTCTATTCTGTTCTCTGTGCTTTGATGTTATCCAGAAGGGAAATATTAAATGTTTATGAACTGGACCACTTCTAATATCTCTCCCCAGAAAATCAAGACATAGCCCCATTGCAGGAAAAAAAAAAAATCGTACTCTTAAGTTAGACATTAAATAGATGGTTTTAAAAAAGGTCTTTATAAACTGACAACTTATTATTAACATTATTCAGATACTCTTACTATATGATTCCATTTATATAAAGTTCTAGGAAATGCACATGGGTGTGGAAGTAGGAAGGATGCAGCAGGATGGGGGGATTAAAATGGAGCAAGGAGAAATTATCAGGGGTGACGGATACATTCGTTATCTCGATTGTGGTGGTTTCATGTGAACAGACATATTTTAGAACTTATCAGATTGTAACTTATCAGAAGTGTACTTCAGGAAAGCTATTAAAATTTTAAATATAAGATATACAAAATAAACAATATAGGCATGCATTACTTCATGAGGATACATTATGAGAAACATGTCATTAGGTGATTTTGCCATTGCATGAACATCATAGAGTGTCCTTACACCAACCTAGATGGTGTACTCTACTACACACCCAGGCTGTATGGCATGGCCTATTCCTCCTAGGCTACAAACCTTTATGGCATGTTCCTGCACTGAATATTGTAGGCAACTGGAACAGCGGGAAGTATCTATCTAAACATAGAAAAAGTACAGTAAAAATACATATGGTGTTATAATCTTATGAGACCATCATTGCATCAGTACAGAATAGTATTCAAGGTATGGTTTTGTTGAAAAATACATATGCATGGAAAATGTTTGATAAAACAGTCAATTGTTCCTTTTTTTTTTTTTTTTTTTTTTGAGACAGAGTCTCACTGTCATCCAGGCTAGAGTGCAGTGGCACGATCTCAGCTCACTGCAAGCTCCACCTCCTGTATTCAAGTGATTCTCCTGCCTCAGTCTCCGGAATAGCTGGGATTACAGCTGCCCGCCACCGTGTCTGGCTAATTTTTGTATTCTTAGTAGAGACAGGGTTGCACCATCTTGGCCAGGCTGGTCTCGAACTCCTGACCTCTTGATCCACCTACCTCAGACTTCCAAAGTGTTGGGATTACAGGCATGAGCCACCACACCCAGCCAAAACAGTAAATTCTTAACAGTGCTTGCCTCTGCAGAATAGACTTAAGAGACACTTTCATTTTCAGTGATTCGCTGGTTCAGTTTCTCAAACATCTACTGATCATGTACTATGTGCTAGGTACAGCAAGAGGTCTGAGGAATACAGTGGGGAAAATCCAGACAATCTGCTGCTCTTCCAAACATATAAACATGATAAGAATGTGAAAGAATGACAGTTATAAGGAATAAAAACCAATGTGCTGTTTATATACGACTATTATGCTAAATGGACTGATTGGGTGAAGGAGGTCTTTCTAAACAGGTGACATCTGAGCTGATACAAAGATGAACAGAAGGAGCCCTCAATGAAAACACCTAATAATGCATTTTACAGGACTTAGTGAGGACTTTAGATTGTATTCCAGATGCAACAGGAAACCAATGGGAAATCCTTTGTGAAGAGGTGGAGCGATTTGACATTTTGAAGACTACTTTGGCTACAATTTGTATAATGAAGCTAAAAGGGTAAGGCAGCAGACAGCGAAGAGACTGTTGCAATGGTGCAGGTGAGAACAGACAGTGGCTTGACCTAAGGTGTGGTGTGTGATGCAGAAGAGTGAATGAATTTGGGCACAGGTTTCAGGTAGAGCTCACATGACTTACGGATTTTATTATGTATGCATATCTGTGTATTTTCTCCTTCAGTTAGAAGATACTTCTTTTGTTGTTAGAAACATGTAAGGCTATAAAACTTTACTATTTTTGAAAAAAAGTTATTAAAACCAATGGAAAATAGTGAATTTGAGGGCTTTTTATTTTCTTTAAACAGTGATTTGAAAGCACTGCATATAGCTCATGTATTTCAGTATTAAGGTAAGTAATTAAATATAAACGTAAGTATTGTTACTTTTTAAGCTTACAAGCAGGTATATCTCTCAGTTAGGATCAGCTGTCTGTCAATTTCCAGAGAGGCTTGCTAACACATTTGCTAGACATCCAATTCCTGCATACAGACCCAACAGATGCACCCAGTACCCTGTTTTCAAGTCTTCTAAAACACATTTCCTAATATCCTGACATGACTAATTCTATACCAAGGAAACTTATTTCAGGATGTTTTACTCAACACATATCAACTGTTCTTCTTATGTTCTTAAAATCTACCTTTTACCACTTCCAGTCTCATAAGAGCATTTATATATTTATGGAATTATTCCTAATATAGATTAGAAGGGTTGGTGAATGACAGCCTGTGGCCTATTTTTGTATGACTCCCAAACTAAGAATGCTATTCAAGTTTTGAGAGCTGTAAAAAAGAAAAAAAAAGTTTAAAATAAAACTAAAATATTTACTTTCTGGCCCTTTACAGAAAAGGTATGCCAACATCCATAGAAGGAAATGACTAAACTAAACTAGTGAGTTAA
Source organism: Homo sapiens (assembly GCF_000001405.40). Lineage (NCBI taxonomy): Eukaryota > Metazoa > Chordata > Mammalia > Primates > Hominidae > Homo > Homo sapiens. The sequence goes on along the minus strand of NC_000005.10, from coordinate 156,510,509 downwards.
ACAAGTTTAATACAGGTAAGACTATTAGTCTAAAGTTCAACTAGAAATAGGTCAATGACAACTAACCAAATTGCCAGGTTGGGAAAACAAGATATAAATTAAGAGCAATGCATATAACAGATATTTTTTAAATGCTTTAAACTGTCTCTATTCTGTCCAAGGCAGAATTATCATCTGACTCTCCACGTTACAGGGTCACCTCATTACTCCTTCTAGGGTATAGGTTTCTCAATGACAGTAAATATGTTCACAATACTCTGTGTACTTTAAGTACCCAAGACAATATGCTATAGGTTCCAGTTACATTTTATAAATAATCATTGTATGGCTAAATTCATTTGCTATTTTTGATAGTTTTAACATCCTTGTTCCCTCTCTTTTACTAAGCACACAAGAAAGTAAACTTATTTGAAATTTAGTAGTGGTACCAGTTTAATACAATTCAAGATTTTGTATAACATTCAGATAAAATCAGCCACTGCACCAAGTTGCTGAATTTCAATAATTATGCTAATCAATGCACACAATGCAAGTAGTGCTTTGGGGGAACTTTCACATTATGCCTTGCTCACAGGTGAAGGGGGATCAATCCAAGGCAGAGCAAATGCATTAATAATCCTTTTCAACCAGCAAATTCTACCACTCCACTAAAAAACAAAAATAAAGACTAAATAAATGAAACCAACCAATCGAAAAATAAAACCACTAAAAGAAACCCACACAACTTGGAATAACAGTGGTTAACAAAGGCAAGGTATGTATGTAGGAATCACTGCTACAGCAATAAAGAAGGAATGAAAGGAAAAGCTTAGGTAGGAAATAATGGTTAACAGAGAAGGCTTGAAATCTTTGTCCTGCTACAAGTATGAAGCTTTTTACATGAAACTTCTCCAAGCCTCAATTCTTTAATCTATAAAATAGAGGCAACAATAGTCCCCACCTCAGTGGACAAATCTGTGAACTAAATTAGATAATGATACTGCATGCAGAACAGCAATGTGCCTAGAACAGGGTACACACTCTGTAGTGATTATTTAAATACCATTTCAGAATGTAGCTGTTGATATTGAATTAATTTTTTTTTTGAGATGGAGCCTTGCTCTGTTGCCCAGGCTGGAGTCCAGTGGCGTGATCTTGGCTCACTGCAGCCTCCACCTCCTGGGTTCAAGCAATTCTCCTGCATCAGCCTCCCTAGTAGCTAAGATTACAGGTGCTCACCACTACACTTGGCAAATTTTTGCATTTTTAGTAGAGACAGGGTTTCACTATGTTGTCCAGGCTGGTCTCAAACTCCTACTTCAGGTGATCTGCCCACCTTGGCCTCCCAAAGTGCTGGAATTACAGGTGTGAGCCACTGTACTCAGCTTGATATTGAATTGATCCTAACCAACACTGGCTACACAGTGTAAAGTCTTAATGAAAAACAAAATTCTAGTTCTTCAGTTCTGTGTTTCTAAAAATGGCTTTGAAGTACTTGATGAATAAAATAAACAGCAATATTATCTGCATTCATATATTATTTATGGCTGTTCCACATTTGCTGTTTTGCCTTATTTGTGGCACAATCTATAAAGCTGGGTAGCAGGGGTTGAGCAGGAATGGAAAGAGGCTCAGAGAGGTCATCTCACTTGCTTACAGTACCACTGCTGTGATGATACTCAAAGATTCAGAAGAGAAAGCAAATTCATCTTAATACCAGTATTACTCCCCACCCCAATTCTCTGTACTCAGCTGATAGCAAGATCAATTCCTCCAGATTTAGATTCTAGAGCAACAATAATGCCTCCTTCTCTCAGCAGAAACTTACTGGTCGGGACTGGATTTCTTTGGCGTAGAGAGGTTGTAAGAATTCAGAGTCTCCTTCTAGCTTTAGACCTTTTTCTGTGATCCTCAGGTTTCCCATTCCATCCTGAAATAGAACACAGAGATAACAAGGAAGATATGATTAGCCAAAATTTCAAAACACCTCAGGCTGTAAAAAACGTAGTTATAGCCTTTTTTTTTTTTAATTTTTGAAGGTGTGGAATGAGGACGGGTATTCAAAAAACATGTAAAATATTAGGAGGTATTGTTTAATGCAGTTATGCATATTATCTTTTTCACTCTTTCTGAGAAAATTCTATTCCAAGCAATTTGTAATGCCCCCTAGTCATCCACACACACAGATTGGGGTGGGGGGCAATTTTGCTAGGCAGCACAGAAAGAATGGAGGGAGAAGGTAAGTAGGAGGAGAGAAAAGGATAATTCTCCAGGAAAAGTGAAAGATCCTATTTCCAGAACTCTACAGAGATTTCAAGCTGGCAGTCTGTTGGTTAAATCCAGACTTTGGACGTGTGTGTTTGAGTCACAAAACATGTAAAGAGTCAAGTTAGTTGCTAATATTTTTTAAAAATATTTTGTTACGGAAATAATATATGCAAAAGTAGAAAGAACAGATAGCAAACACATATGTACCTATCACTCATCTTCAGCGATTATCAATTTATGGCTATTATTATCTATTACTGCCACCTACACTCCCCTTCTTTGTTTAAATATAACAATAATCCCATTACCACACACACAATCCAGAAGTAACAATCATTCCTTAATATCAAACACCTATTGTCCATGTTCAAATTTCACTAATATGTTTTTTTCTCTCTATAATTTGCTTATTTGAATTAAGTTCCTTACAGCAATTGTTTGCTACATAAAATACTAGGCCAGTTCCTAAAATTTCCAGTCAGTCATTTTCTCTCTCATACATCCACACATATACAAATATATACACATATACTTTATTTGATAAATGTCATTTTAAAAATGGAATTTCCCAGAGTTTAGATTTTGCTGAACATTCCCATAATTTCATATAATGTGTTCCTCTATTCGTTATGTTTCCTGTAAATTGGTAGTTACATCAAGAGGCTTGATCAGATTCAGATGCAATTTTCTAGAAAGACTATATCCTAGGAAATGGGGTATATTAGTTTTCTATTGTCACAGTAACAAATAACAAAACTTAGTGGTTTAAAACACCACAACCTTATTATCTTACAGTTCTGTGTGTTAGAATTCTGACCAGGACACAATGGGCTAAAATCAAGGTGTCAGAAGGGCTATGTCCTTTTCTGGAGGCTCTAAAGGGAGAATCAATTTCCTTTCTCTTTCTGGCTCCTGGGCTCATGGCCTCACTTCCATCTTCAAAGTCAGCAGTGGCTGATTGAGTTTTTCTCATGTAAAACCACTCTTGACTCTGAATCTTCTGTATCCTTCTTCCATTCTCAAGGACCCTTGAGATTTCACTGGGCACATCTGGATAACCCAGGATAACCTCTCCATTTTAAGATCACCTGATCAGTAATTGTAATTCTATCTGCAATCTCAATTGCCCTTTTCCATGTAATATAATACATTCATGGGTTCTGAGATTATACATGAACATCTTTGAGGTGGAGTGAGGCGCAATTTTTTACTTACTTCATGGGAGGTTCTTCTATCAGTAGGCACATAACAATTTTTGCCATGAGGTTATCAGCCAATGTAGTCTTTGCCTAGAGGACCCATGATTTCACTAGAGGTTTCAAACTGGTTATATCCTAATTCTATTATTCTTAATTTACTAGCTGGGAATACTAGCCAGAGAAAGTTCATCTCATCAACTATTTGCTAACTCTGAATTTTAGTTTGTAGAGGAATTGACAGAGTTGGATTTTCCCTCCTTTATTGTTGATCTTTAAAATACTGAATTGGCTATCTAACATCTTCCACCTAGTATCTTCCAAACCAATGAGGTTTTTACTTTTTAACTATGACTATAAACATTTTCATTTGTTTCATTCTAGCCCAATTATTATCCCTATAATTTTCTAATTTCCCTACTTCAGTCAAGGGTTTTTTTCCAGTTGACTGCTGCACCCTTTTAATATAGCCACGTAGTCTTTGATGGCCCTTTTGCTTCTCTATGAGATGTTACAGGGTGATCCTACAGTCCTTCCCCAGGACTGCAATCAGCCATTTTTAGTAAGAAGCCCTGGTTCATTTCAGTGGGAAATGGTATTTAGAAACCACAACTGGGAGCTTTGAATACTGATTGTTACTGGATGAGCCTTTGTTTCTGCGGACGGAACTGGAAAATAAGGGGTGTGTGTGTGTGTGTCTGTGTGTGTGTGTGAGTGTGTGTTTAGTAAAAATAACATGATTTAACATGAAACTTTAACTCAAATTCAGGACTTGAAGATTTCCATTTTATCTCCTGGATTTTATAATGTTACTACCTTTCTTTCATACCAAAAATCCCTTTTCTGAATAATACCAACATGATTATTCATTTAACTCACAACACACACAGAATAGTTTCAGAACACCAATGTCACTATTGTACTAACATTATGGTTAATAAAAATCAATGTAAAATTTGTTAGTTTTTAAAAATCTTTAAAGTATATCCTACTAGGAAAATACAGTCAAACTGTGGAATTTCAAAGTCACTTGAAATAATTCCTTTCTGTGGGGTTATGCTGTTAACATGATACCCAGGGAGGCTGAATTGTTTCAATTTTTCTTCTCATTTTTTCATGACTGTTTTTTTAAAGTCCAATTTTCTTTTATGTAAACTATGTATGTGGCACCAAAGTCAAATCTACAAAATAACAAATATTCAAAGAAGTCAAATTTCTATTTTCATTGCTCCACCGTGTTTTTTCTCCTCCCAGGGGTAGGGGTGTGTGTGTGTGTGTGTGTGTGTTTGGTGTATATACACACACACTATGAACATGCTTTGTTATTTCTTATGTATTCCTCTGTTTTCTAATAACATTTAAAAAGCAAAATATATGAATGAAAAATCCAGGTTTCTAGTTTCTCCAGTGAAACAGGAATGGCCATGCTGGGCCTGCTGTTACGTTGCCAGCATCCACTGAGGTGAGCAGCAGCCGCCCCTGCCTGGACACACCATACAGTCTCTAGTTTGCACAGTCTCCACCCAACCTACCTCACTATGTTATCTATGTTATTTCAGCCTCCTGCAGCTTCTTCTGTCTGCCATTGCTATTGTGCTGTATACCTCAACACGTTCAGTATGGATGCCACACAGGGGGTTGAATGACCAAGTGGAAAATGGGTACTTTTCCCCATCCTGTCTTCATAAATGCACTTCAGCCTGTGGATCAGAACAGATCCTGCAGGTCAAAATTGTTCCTCTATGCCATCTGTATATTTCTATTCTGGCACTCATGGAGACAGCTCTGCCAAGAGAACCCAACTGGGCAATCAAACCCAGTGTGAGAGGCAACAGGCTGGGGGACATGGCACGTGTCTCACCTGCAGCAGGTGGAACCTGCAACAAAGGGAAACACGGCAATGCGGATGTCCAAAGGCACCTCGAACCCTCCCAAAATAGACAGATGGATTAGCTCTTGTTTTGCATTATTAGTGATCATTTCTGATAGCTGGAGAGGCAAACCTTTTCACAGAAACACATATTCAACCTGACTTCGATAAACTGACTGCGCTGCTTCATCTGTCTGCATGCTATGTTGACATTTCTTCCCATTGAGGTCAGAAGACATTGATATGTTTACACGCATATGATTACATGCATGATACGATTACTAAACAAACAAGAACTCCTAAACATTCTTAAATAAAAGATTATATTTGGGGTATTATAGCAAGTCTATTCCAAACAACTCCTTCTTTTCTTACACTACTTACATATATCCCCTTTCCTTAACATTTATTGATGACTGACTTACTATACTCTGTGCTTTTCACGATTTACCTCAGTTCCTTCATTGTTGCTGAAAATTATTATGTTACTTCTTGGATTTCATCGTAAGGAAATAACTGTGTAAATGTGAAAGTATTTAGCTTTAGAGTTGTTCGTCACCATGTCAGTTAATAAGAGAAAAAATAAAAACTATGTAAAGTTGCATGTTACAATAATTGAACACACTATAGGGAATATGATGTAGTTCTTGCAGAGGAATATGTAAGAGTGCAGGCAAATATTCATGATGCATTATTGACTGAAACAATCAGTTGAGGAAATATGTAATGAGCCCACTGAAAAATAACTGTTTAATATATATACACATTGACATATATATATATATATATATATATATATATATACACACACACACCCACATATACTCATGTACATATAACAAAAATTCTCAAGGAAATTTTATTGGAGAAAAATTCTAGGGGGAATTATACTCAAATGTTAATATTTAATACTTTGTATGTCTGAGTTATGAGTGCTTTCTACTTTCCTCTTTTTGCTTATCTGTACTTTATAATTTTTTTTTTTTTTTGAGACAGAGCTTTTTTGCTCTTGTCACCCAGGCTGGAGTGCAACAGTGTGATCTCAGCTCACTGCAACCTCCGCCTTCCAGGTTCAAGTGATTCTCCTACCTCAGCCTCCTGAGTAGCTGAGATTACAGGTGCCCACCACTATGCCTGGCTAATTTTTGCATTCTTAGTAGTGATGGGGTTTCACCATGTTGGCCAGGCTGGTCTCAAACTCATGACCTCAGGTGATCCACCTGCCTCAGCCTCCCAAAGTGCTGGAATTACAGGCATGAGCCACCATGACTGGGCTGTACATTCTAATTTTCTAAAATCTTCTAGAAACACCAATAGTAATTAAAAAAAAACTCTTAAGTAACAAAAAATAAAGTTTTCCTTGGTGATTTATTTTAAAAATCAACACTTACCTAGAATGTACACTATACCTCATGTACTAAGTGCTATACATAAATTATCTCATGTCATCTCTTCAATGTTCTTATGAGATAATTATTATTTTCCTTCTTTTACAAGTGAGCAAATTTGTTAGTAAGTTACTTGCTCAAAATTATATAGCTAGCTAATGACAGAACTAGGAATTTGAACTCAACTGTTTCCAATTCAGACTTTACATTCGTAGTCATTAGGATAATAGCTAAGGGTAACCCAATCCTCAATATACACAAAAGTAATGCCCTTATGGTTCCTGCTGGGTTTCTTATTAATGTCACTTTGATTTTAGCTTACTGGGTAACTGCAGTCAGTGATATTAATAGATAGAACCATCCTTAATCCTAAGCCTAACACCATTCATTTTTATGATAGATACTTTTATTACACCTTCTCAGAGTCGAAGGGATCCTAACTACAACACAACATTCACCCACCCCCAGACATAATCAGAAGGAATCTTCTGCTATTTTTGGAGAGCCCACTGTGTGTATAATCATGTGCTGTGTGCCATGACGAGTTACAAAAAGAGAAGGCCCCTCTAAATCCCATCCTGTAAGACAGTTTATAACATAGGAGGTACCCAGCCAAATAAAAACAGTGAAGGAGGTACAGAAACGACCACAGTTCAAGAAATATAAATCTAATCCAAGCCAAGTAACTCTTTTGCAATAAGTAATTTAATCTTTCCTCATATACATCTTATGGCAGCTAACTCACCTCAAACATGCCAAATCCCCATCATTTTTCCACTTACAGGATTTCCTATTCTTGCTTATGATCAGTTTCACTTTTCTAGCCTACTTCCCTGTCTCTCGGTCTGCCTAATGGTATTTGGTGGGAAAGGTCTATCAAATAGTGTGAATTTTTGTTACTGGCCTCTATTTCCAAAATATAACACAAAACTGATTAGAGTCACCAACTAAATAATATGTTCCCACATTTATAGTCTCCTTTCTAGCTTTGGAACAATGAGGCTGGATTGGAAACCCATCAAAGTACCTTGATATGAGCTTTATTAAAAAACATTTCATCTTTTACTACATAAGAAGTTTTGGGTATTATTAAGATTGGAGTTTGAGGTCAATTAGGAACTACAACTTCTCTCCCAATAAGATGTAAAAGAGGTATTTAGAAGATTGAGAATTGGACCAGGACTGATGGTTCATGCTTGTAATTACAGCACTTTGAGAGGCTGAGGCAGGAAGATTTCTTGAGGCAAGGAGTTTAAGAGCAAACTGGGCAGCATAGCAAGATACCATCCTAAAAAATAAAAATAAAAATTAGTTGGTATGGTAACATATACCTGTAGTCCCAGCTACTCAGGAGGCTGTGGCAGGAAGATCACTTGAGCCCAGGATTGTGAGCTATGATTACATCAATGCTCTCCAGCCTGGGAAAGAGCAAAATCCTCTCTCTAAAAAAATTAAAGAGGGAGGGCTGGGCATGGTGGCTCACGCCTGTAATCCCAGCACTTTGGGAGGCCGAGGCGGGCGGATCACGAGGTCAGGAGATCGAGACCATCCTGGCTAACATGGTGAAACCCTGTCTCTACTAAAAATACAAAAAATTAGCCAGGGGTGGTGGTGGGTGCCTGTAGCCCCAGCTATTCAGGAGGCTGAGGCAGGAGAATGGCGTGAACACAGGAGGCAGAGTTTGCAGTGAGCCAATATTGTGCCACTGCACTCCAGCCTGGGCAACAGAGCAAGACTCCGTCCCAAAAACCAAACAAAAAAAAAAAAAAAGAGAGAATATCATTCCTAGAACAATTAGAAACAGTAATTAGAAAAACAGACAATATCTTATTTTCCTCTTTAAATGGTGAAACTAATTTTCTTAAGGCAAGCATGAAAATTATAGTAGCCCAATAGGGGGATAGCAGGTCTTGACTGAATGAGCGCTGTCCAGTGATGATCCTGAAGTCTGTAAAGTACATCTAAGACAGAAGGAGGAGGCCAGGCTCCCATTGTAATCCCAGCGAAGACAAGAATTCTGAAAGCCCTGCTCATCGCAGGATCACCAGTGACTATTCCCATACAGGGTGCGGTACTCAACTCAGAATAGGAGTTTTCAAAAACACAAGAGCAAATCCTATTACTTTCTCAGTCTAATTTAGAGTCTCCCCTAAGCCCTCAGTTAGAACTTTCAGAAAAGGCAGAGGCTAGGGGCAGGGGAAGGGGGCACAGGTAGGTGGAATCTGGGGAATTACCCTCTGGGCTGGTGCAAAGACTATGGCATTTGCTTTTCATTCTTTATCTGGCCCAGATTGGTTAGTTGTTTTAATAGTTTTCTATAGAAGATGAGTACAGAATAAAGAGAATCAGAGTAGCAGCGCAATAGACTGAAATATTGGTTCTTTCCACATAACTTGTTTTCTTCCTCTTGTCTCCTTCCCCTGACTCCCTTTGTCACCATTTCAGACAGGTTCTTGGGCTTTGTCATTACTTGGCTTAGAGATTTTGAGAATGAAGCAGCAGTAGCCTAACTGCAGTGGGGTTTCCTGTCTTTTATAATCTCATTGAATCTCATTGAATGAACTGTGCTAGATGTGCTGGGAAAGGAGGCAAGAAGTGGAGGAGATATTCTCCCACTGGGATGGGTGGGGGGCAGTAGACAAAAGATCTGTGCCTCCCGTGAATTCTAGAGACCATTTTCCTGCCAGTGTCCCGAGGAGGGGTTAAGGCTTCCAAAGGAAATGGCTGTAGCACTCCAGCCTCGCCAAAGTTTCCCTTCTCCAGGAGAGGCAGAACATTTGGACCTCCAGGGATCATGTAGGTGGCCATTCTCTCAGCATGGCCAGTGCAGGGCAGTGATCAGTGCTCCCAGAGGCCTTCCCACTGGTGCAGGGTAAGATACCAGGATGTCTGCAAAATTCTGAGTGACGTGGACTTCCTGTTGGTTCTTGTGGGATGGGGATGGAAATTGCTATTATGTTGATTTTAAGAAAGTGCTATTTTTCACATTCCACTGGACACTGCTGAAAAGGCATTTCTGATCTGTTCCAGGATCCGCCCCATGCCCAGGACTCCTAGGGATACTAAAGACTGATGAAAAACACCCAGAGTGCATATGTTTATTCAGAAAAAGGCAAACGTTGGTCGTTGTTAGATGAGTAGGTTGCAGACCTATTGTGCAATTTTTGATATTTTGATAGGTGTGTAAAACAGTTTTTCCCACTAATAAAATCTATTAACAGAAAAAAAGTGCGATTTTCTTGCTCCTTTGATTTTCCCCCTGCATCAGCATTGGACGGGTTTTTAATTCTGTCAGCACATTTTCAGGCTTGAAAGTAATGCCAAGACCTGTTTTAACAAACAAGTCTCAAGATAATCTCTTGCTGGAGCAGTTTTAATGGCAGGCATTACTTGGTTTGGATCCAAAACAATTATATACAGATTGCAGTAGAATGTAATCTTCATGAGGGGTGGGATTTTTGACTGTTTTATTCACTGCTGTAGTCTCAGTTCCTAAAAAATGGCTTGGCAATTATTATGCGCTCAGAAAATATCTGTAGAGTGACAGAATTTATTCATTCCAAATGGTTGTATTTTGAAAGGTAGTGTGGGGAATGACAAAAATGTTAACATCTATACCTGTTCCTACATGAGATTCCAATTTATTAGAGTATGTATTCCCAACCAGGGGGATACAGCCCCCAGTGGACAAAAATTAATTATTGGGGGGTTGGACGCATACAAAATTTTTACTCTTTTAATTTAGAAAGCCTAAATATGTTTACATATAAAGTACATATGCAGCATATCTTTAATATCGACATTTCATGGGGTGACAAATAGGGAAAAATGTCTAAACATTCTCTGGGGCAAGGGAGGGTTAATTTTTTTTTAAAGTTGAGAAATAATGTATTCGACTATTATAAAGTTTGAGACTGCTCTAGCTTTCTTCTCTTTATAAATGGTCACTTCTACCTTTAGAATACTGAACCATCTTCTTCGTAGCTCCTCAGACATTAACACTTAACAGAATGATAGCAACAAAAGAAAAGAACAAACTTCTTAATATAATCTTTAGCACACTTCATGACTGCACCTGCTCACTTCTCCATCCTAGTCTCTTACCGGTCTCCCTTCACTCTGTCACAGAACATGCTCGCAATTTTTCCAAACCCCTCCCCTTTTTGAATCTTTGTAAATGTTTTATGCCCTTCCCTTGGCCAGCAATACTCTTCCCAATGCTTCTGCTCCTCTCTGCAGTCCTTTGGTTATGATTAGATGTCTTTTCTGGGTCACATGGGATTTTTCATATCATATCTTTCATCTCATATTTCTGCTCATATCTTATATCACATACATTGTAATTGTCCATTTATATCTATGTCCTCAGTCACTAAACTTCAAATTTCTTGAGATGAGAAATAAGGTGCTACTTATTATTTCATCTTGGGGGCTCAGTACATTGCCTATACCTAAATATCTAATTGCAAGAGAAAAAAAGAAATCGGCTAGAGATTGTTCAGAAAGTGCTCATCCATGTGAATTTTAAAACATGAGTAACAAAAGCTACCATTTCCATACGCGTTAGACAAAGCACATGGTCTGCACTGTATTCATTAACCCTCATTGTAACTAAAAAGGGTAGGCACTATTAGCCCCATTTAACAGTAGAGAAAACCAATGCTTACAGAACCTGGCAGTCTAACTCCAAAACAAAATTCCTTAACCATCACATGCCATGCTACACTATTAAGCTTCTACTGTGTGCCCAGCCCTGTGCTAAACACTAAGACGAAAAGGCAAGAAGAGTTGCAGATTGCATTCCTTCCTTTTGGGAGTTTCCAAAACACATAAACACATACACATACACACACACACACACACACACACACACGTAGCACACATGATGGCAAGAACCTGGAAATATCATGTACTTTCATATACCACTAAGGGGAACATAAAATGTTGCAGTCACTTTGGAAAAGGGCCTGCCTGTTAAGAATTTAAACACGGAGTTACCATATGATCCAGCAATTCCACTCTGGGCTCTCTGCCCAATATAAATAAAAACGTATGTTCACACAAACACTTATACATAAATGTTCACAGCAACATAATTCATCAGAGCCAAAATGTGGAAACCACCTAAATGCCTATTAACTGATGAATGGATAAGTAAAATATTCTATATCCATGCAATGGAATACTATTTAGCAATCAAAAGAAATGAAATACAGGTACATGCTATAACATGGACAAACCTCAAAAATTATGATAACTGAAAGCAGACAGACATAAAAGACCACATATTGCATGATCTCATTCATGTATTGTCCAGAAATGAAAATCTATAGAGACAGAAAGTAGATTAGTGGTTGTCTAGGGCGGAGAAGACTATAAATGGATTCGAGGGATTTTACTGAGGTGACAGAAATACTCTAAAATCAGATTGTGGTGGTAGCTGCATAAAAGCAAATTTACTAAAAATCACTCAGTTGTATACTTAAAATGAGTCAATCTTACAGCATACAAATATAACCCTAACGAGGTGTTTTTTTTTTTTTTTTGTAAGAGAAATATGACGTTCACAGAAAAAAAAGCAATCCAATTCAAGAGACATGCTATGACGTGCTTTGGAATTCCCTGAATCCATAAAGAGAACTGATTTAGAGATAAGTGCTTGGGGAAAGAGGTAGTATGTTAAAGAGGGTAAAACATGACTGTTATTTGTGCACACTTTGTGTGGGTTTACTAAAGGAACATGCTGGGCAACGTTCTGTTTCCATTAAAGTCCAACTTGATGAAGGGTGTCTAGAGTGAAGCAAGCCAGAGCTGAATAAGACACAGAGAATGTTTTGTGATCAAGGCAATTAGACTATGTGACAGGCTACTGAGGCAGCTACTGGCTTTCTTTTCTAGGGAGCATTATAAACGGTGACATCATCAGTCCTGCATGATTAACCCAACAGCAAGGGAAAGGACCAGATGACCCCATCAGTGTCTGGGTCACAGCTGCTGATCCTTTTTGTCATTTGCCATGTAATCTCAACTTCGTTCATATTTTCTTTCTTTGGCCAATGATGTTAATATATAGTTTCCTTTCTTTTCCTTTTTACTCTCTAGTTACCATAATGCTAAAGCTCATATATTGGTTAGATCATTTTCTGTGTGTGTGTGTGTGTGTGAGAGAGAGAGAGAGAGAGAGAAAGCACGCGCACAAGTGAGAGAGCTAGAGAGCATTATACATATGTAACTGTCAAATTGCTTTGCTGCCTCAGTGGATCAAAACTGTAATTTCTCATCTGTTTTATAAAATCTCATAAGGTTGCTTTTAATGATTTACAGATTCAAGGCCATTGTATTTGAATGCTTTCCATATTTCATGGTTTCCAACAGTAATGTATAAACAGGAATTCTTTGCTCTACACTTTCTCTGGGCGTGAGTAAATCAAACAATGGGGATTACCCATGCCTCAACACAGAGAGGGAATAAGTATAATTTTCTTTACTACTGAATTGCCTAGTTTCTACTTTTCCTTTAGAGCTTAGCTATCAATTTCTTTGGGAGTCTTCCTTGATTCTCTTTAGAAACCATCTTTCCTCAATAACAGAAGAACACACGCAGAGAGAGAGAGAGAGAGAGAGAGAGAGAGAGAGAGTGCAGGAGAGTGAGAAAGAAAACGAGGGAGAGCATTTTAATATCCTGGCTAAGAATATAAGCTTTGGAACCAGACTGCAAGTGTTAGAGTGCTGCTTCAACCACTTCCTGGTACGCTTTCTAAGGCTCATGCTCTTCATATGAACATTTACGTAGTCAAGACAATTCTAACTTCTAAATTGAGGATTAAATCAGACAATCCATGCTGCTCAGTCAAAAGAAGTTGGGATATACTACAGTAACAGACAACACAAATCTCAGTGGCTTTGAAGAACAAACATTTATTTTTCACCCAAGCTACATGCCCATGGAGGGTTAAGAGGGTAGTCACTCAGGGATACAGATGACAAAGCAGTCACCATTTTAAGCACTTTGCTGCTCTTTATTTCTTTGGGCATGTGTAGGACTATATTTCCCTACATATGATTGGTTTGGCTAGTGAAAAGCAAGCAATTCAGGGTCAACTCAGAGCTGATGCTTTAAGAACCACTGCATATTTGGCTATATTCTCCTATTATTTTTCTTTGTCTACACAGCAATCTTCCAGCAGGGAGGGGCAAGTATTACAGCTATCTGTTTTATCCTAATCTCATGTCATAATCCCCGACTCAGAGAAGACAGATAGTACATTTTGACTTACAGATGAAAAGTCTCTATTAGCCAAAAAGAATCACAATTACACCTCCCACATACAGTCGAGTCTGGCTTAAAAGTTAACAAACCCTAGATACTACTTACGCAGCCCAGTACTCTGCTTGCTGGCCATCCAAGAAAACAGTTAGGTCAGCATGGGAATTGCTGTATACTTCTACACATTAAAGATCATCCTTAAGGGATGTTTCTGAGAAATTATAAGCACATTCCATGGAATTACAGGAAGAATATAGCACTTCTGTTCTCAACAGTTCCTCTGGCTGTCAGGTCAAACACAGACAAACCTGTCCTATTTGAATCTGTTTCATCTCACCCATAATAGGTAGTTGGACAGAAGAAACATTAAGGTCATTTGTACTTGTAAAAGAATTCTATTCTATGATGCACAGGAATGAGATGCTACCTGGACAACAACTCATGTAGGTTTTTGTCAGGAAGTGATGCCCACAACTCATACAGGCTACATTTAGGCCCTCTTGGGTGAATTGTAGTTTTGCTAAAGAAATTCTTGGAAAAACTCTTGCAAATCACTCCCAATGAGCACTCAGATTCAGAAAGGACTTAGGGATAAAAACCAATGCCAGCACATTGTTCTGAAACAGAAACTTGTAAGCAACCTTTAAAAAGAGACATTGGTGGGGAATTTATCGATTGTCTGACGGGAAGAAAATGAGAGATGGATAATAAAGTGCAAGTTGCTACATTCCCTGTCCTAGATGAAAAATGTGAGCTTATAAATCCTGAGCTATTGTTGATAAAGGAGGAGACTCATTTATCTTAAGAAGCCACATAAAAGAAAATAAGTGAAATATGATTAGGCCTATGCCAAGTGTTCAGATTAAATTCCTACCATCACAATCCCTGCTGCTGGGTGAGTGCTTCCCACCAGTAAAGTCCGATTAAGATGCTGGCCTGAGTGATATTAAAAATACACACTGTGAAAATCCCTCCCAGAATAGATTCCTTCATGGGGTATGTACCCCAAGGGAGCCACCTCTCCTGTCTTCTATTTTCATTTGGAAAAGTTGTCAGTTGTACATGACAGTGTCTTTTATGAGATTTCAAGTTACAGCTTCAAAGGGCCCAGTGCCGTTTTGATACTTGTGAGAAAGGTTTCCAGGGATAAGTTCAGAAATATGAAAGCTAGTATGCGTACACCTGGCACTAGCGCTGTCTTACCTATTAATTTGGCCCTCTCCTCAAGTTATAATGTCCAAATTGGCCTTCCAAAAGATGGCATCAGACATACTCCCAGTCTTTCAGGTGTGTCACCAATTTATGCAATTATGTTTAGCCTTAACTAAAGAGAAGCAGTAGTGGTCCAGAGGAGACATCTATTGCTGTTCTCTTGCTTGCACTTGTAAGCTCTAATATCCTTCCCATATTTCATCCATGTGTTCTCAGAACAGAACAGTGGATACCGCATGCGGAAATCACTGCACCTGTGGAGACTCCTGATTGCTCAGTGAAAAAAGACATGACTTTCTCTCCTCCCCACTTTTCCCAGAGCATCACACAGGCAGAGCTATAAAGCGCCCTAAAGAAGAATGAGGCAGAGTAGGAAGAGAGAGGGTAGGATATACTTAAGACTGGAGGTCCAATAAGTTGTCTCTAAGAATCCCAGATGAAGTGAGGAAGCCAGGCCTGGGAAGGTCTGAGTACAGGGAGAATGAGTATGGTACATTTGAGGATCACCAAGAATGGCATCAGCCAATGTGATCAGAGTT
Organism: Homo sapiens; assembly: GCF_000001405.40. Lineage (NCBI taxonomy): Eukaryota > Metazoa > Chordata > Mammalia > Primates > Hominidae > Homo > Homo sapiens. The sequence goes on along the minus strand of NC_000005.10, from coordinate 156,494,790 downwards.
GAATCACACCCCCTCTACACAAGGTAGGGAGGAATAGGAGATGAATTCAGAAAAGTGGGAAGGAAGAAGGATCAATAGAGCATCTTGAAGAAGATACCACGAGGAATTTGGATTTTTTATTATTTGTGTGACTAGACACCAATGGAATACGTTAAGCAGGGCAATGACGGGAGCTGATTTACATTTTATATTCTAAGACTTCTGTGAAAGTTTGGAAACAAACTCTGATGAATTCATGCCTCAGAATAAATTCCAAAAATAACTTTCTAGTAAAGAACTGTCTTATAATAGATCCTGTGATTTTGTTAAACTTAAATAATTTTTTTTTGGAATTTATTCCCTCCTTCCTTTGCCTAGCAAAATCCATAGACACTATTGTTTAGACCATAGGTTTTGGAATCCAAAAGTTCAAACCATAGGTGTGAGTGTTAGAGTCCTCAAAAAAAAAAAAAAAATAGGAGGGGATTAAAAAAAAGAGTTTTTTGAGTCCAGGTCCCATCACTTACTAGTCAAAGAATCTTTTCTGGGTCTTTCTTCATGTGTGAAAAGGTACTAACAGTATCTCTCTTGGAAGGCTATGTGTATGCATGCACATTTGATTTGCTTCATGTGGTGCCTGGAACACTGTATATGTTCAACAGCAGCCCTATAGTGACTGCTGGCCCCATCCATCCTCCAGGCCCCAGCTCCCACATTTATTCCCATCTTGCTTTATCTTCAAACTACCTTCTCTGATTTCCTATGGCAGTGACACCCCGCCATGCCAATTTAGCACTTACTTGATTTGATATGCTCTGAGAGGCTTGTCTAAGAGGAAAAGAAAAGAGGACCCATAGCAGAGCTTCCAGTGTCAAGAGGATGTGGGATGAAGGCCGTGAGAGGCAGGTACAAAGATGTGAAAGGGAGTGTGCCAGAAATTTGTCTTAGACATTTCCTAGCAGAAGGTGAATAAAATTAGGACTCACTCAATATTACAACCTACTGAAGAAAATGAAAGCAGAAGTGATTGTTTTAATTTGCCAAAATTGAGGCTGCTTTCTTCCCTGGGTAAGATAGTCGTTTAATAATTTTAACTGGAAATCAACAAATCATTAAATACTGAGAGACCAAAATTGGTTAAAAGGACTTAATTCCCTCCCTTTGCCCTTTTAACTACCATGCCAGGTATTACCCACAGCTTTCCTACCAGCCAATCCATCCTTTAAAAAGGGAATCATTAATAATCTGAGAAGTTTCAGATATCCAGAGTTGGGGTAATTCCCTCAACAAGAAGGGCAGATAGCCTGGTAACAGTGAAGATTAAAAATCCATAGGGAACCCAATCATAATGATTTATTAAACCTTATTTGGGATAGTGGCTGTGATGGCTCATTTTACATGTCAAGTTGATTAGGCAAAGGGGTGCCAAGAGATTTGGTTAAACATTATTCTGGGTTAGACAGGTAAAGTAAATTCAAGAGATGCATTGTACATGATGACTATATTTAACAACAAGTTATTGTATGGTCAACATTGCTAATAGATTTCAAGTGTTCTCACCCTTAAAACTAAGTGTCTGAAGTAATAGATATGTTAATTAGCTTGATTCAGCCATTCTCCAATGTATAAATATATCAAAACATCATGTCGTTTCAACCATTGTGGAAGACAGTGTGGTGATTCCTCAAGGATCTAGAACCAGAAATACCATTTGACCCAGCAATCCCATTACTGGGTATATACCCAAAGGATTATAAATCATTCTACTATAAAGACACGTGCACATGTATATTTATTGCGGCACTGTTCACAATAGCAAAGACTTGCAATCAACCCAAATGCCCATCAATGATAGACTGGATAAAGAAAATGTGGCACATATACACCATGGAATACTATGCAGCCATAGAAAATGATGAGTTCATGTCCTTTCCAGGGACACGGATGAAGCTGGAAACCATCCTTCTCAGCAAACTAACACAAGAACAGAAAACTAAACACCACATGTTCTCACTAATAAGTGGGAGTTGAACAATGAGAACACATGGACACAGGGAGGGGAACATCACATACCAGGGCCTATCGGGTGGTGGGGGCTAGGATAGATATAGCGTTAGGAGAAATACCTAATGTAGATGACGGGTTGATGGGTGCAGCAAACCATCATGGCACGTGTATACCTATGTAACAAACCTGCATGTTCTGCACATGTATCCCAGAACTTAAAGTATAATAATTTTTAAAAAAATCATGTTGTACATAGTAAATATCTATACTATTTAATTTTATCATTTAAAATAGGTAAATAAAGCTGACTGTCTTTGAGTAGGGGAGGATTTTTTCCTGCCTTGAGACTGGAATCGAAATATTGATTTTTGCGGGTCTTAGGCATTTGGACTTAGACTGGAACTATGCCATCAGTTCTCCTGAGTCTCCAGGTTGCAGATTGCAGATGTGGGATTTTGTCAGCCTCCCTAACCACATGAGCCAATTCCTTATGATAAAAATCCATACACACACATACACATATGTATTCTATGAATGATGTAACTCTGGAGAACTCCAACTAATAAAATACTAGAGAAGTTTATTCCCAGATGTAGTTTCTAGAAAGAGATGTTTATCAAAATGCAAGTGAGAATGACAATGAATTAAAAGTAACTTTCAAAAAGGATTCATACATGTTACACAATCTCTATATCCATCACACACTCCTGAAAGACATGCAATCATTCTCTCTCTTTTTTAGAGGACATAAGACTTTTTTTAGGCTTTGTGGTAACAATAGCCATCATTGTCACAGACTGACAGTCACCTCTACTTCTGATGACAGGGAAACCCAATTATAGAACAGTATCAGGAGTTGTCAAGCAACAAGTTAAAAAATTTTTTAGGATCCCTCCCAGAATGAGATGCCAGGCTCAAGATGAAAACGTGGCTATATAAAAATGAGTTATGTCACAACTACAAAGAGCTCAGGGTAATCTTGATCTTGCTAGGAATGGGACTACCACAGGTACTAATAAGATAACTGCTTAATGAAATGAAAACATGTTGGGCATAGTTTGGTAAGAATTTACAATTACTGCAGCCAATTAGAAATTAAAGTAGGGTGCTTCTAGTTAGGTTTGTAGTCTACATGCTTCTAGAAGAGTCTTAAAAGATTTACCTTTATCTTTATTTATGTTTATGTTTTTAAAAAATTTTCATTGATACATGATTGTACTTATTTATGGAGTGCACATAATATTTTGAAAATCTGTTGGCTGCAAATACGCTGATCCATTTTGGGATTCTCTATTCTACTACACTGGTCTATGTGTCCATTTTTATAAGAATGTCATGCTATTTGGGTTATTACAGCTTTGTAGTACATTTTGAGATCAAGTAGTGTGATGCCTCAAGCTTTGTTCTTTTTGCTCAGTGTTTGGCTATTCAGAGTCTTTTGTGGTTACACACAAATGTTGAGACTGTTTTTTGTACTTTGTGAAGAGTGTCATTGGTATTTTGATAGGGATTATATTAAATCTATAGATTAGTTTGGGTAATATGGTCATTTTAACAATATTAATTCTTCCTATCTATGATCAGGGGATGTTTTTCCATTTGCTTATGTTCTCTTCAATTTCTTTCATCAGTGTTTTATAGTTTTTCTTGCAGAGCTCTTTTACCTCCTTGGTTAAATTTGTTCCTGGGTATTTTATTTCATTTTTTATTGGTAGCAATTATAAATGAGACTGCTTCATTTCTTTTTCAGCTAGTTTTCTATTGGTGTTTAGAAATACTTCTAATTTTTGTACAAAAATTTTACTGAATTCGTTTGTCATTTCTAAGAGTTTTCTGGTGGAGTATTTAGGTTTTTCTACATATAAGATCATTCTATGTGAAAAGGGACAATTTGAGTTCCTCTTTTCCAGTTTGGATAACTTTTAATTTTTTCCTCCTGACTGAATGCGCTTGCTAGAACTTCTAGTACTATGTTGAATAAGAGCAGTGAAAGTGGGCATCCTTGTCTTTTTTCAGTCCTTACAGGAAAGGCTTTCAGCTTTTCCCTATTCAGCATGAGGATAGCTGTGGGTTTGTCATATATGACCTTTAGTATGTCAAGGTACGTCCCTTCTATGCCTAATTTATTGGGAGTTCTTATCATTAAGGGACGTTGAATTTTATAAAACACTTTTCCTGCATTTCTTGAGAGGATTATATAGTTTCTGTCCTTCATTCTGTTGATGTACTGTACTGCATTTATTGATTTGCATATATTGAACCATCCTTGTAATCCCTGGGATAAATTCCACTTGATTATGTGTATTTTTTTTTTTTTGATATGTTACATTCGGTTTACTAGTATTTTGTTGAGGATTTTCGAGTCTATGTTCATTAGAAATATTGGCCTGTCATTTGCTATTTTTCTTGTGTCCTTGTCTGGTTTTGAAATCAGGGTAATGCTGCCCTCATAAAATGAGTTAGAAAGGATTCCTTTCTCTTTATTTTTGGGAGCAGTTTAAGAAGAATTAGTGTTAGTTCTTTGTACGTTTGGTTGAATTCTGCAGTAAAGGCATCTCGTCCTGGGCTCATCTTTGTTAGAAGATTTTTAATTACTGATTCAATGTCATTACTCATTTTTGTTCCGTTCGTGTTTTCTGTATCTTCCTGGTTCAATCTTTGTTCATTTTATGTGTCCAGTAATTTATCCATTTCCGCTAGATTTTCCAATTTGTTAGAGTTTGGTTGTTTATAATAGTCTTTATCCTTGCATTTGTGTCGGATCAGTTGTAATGTCTCCTTTGTTTCTAATTTTAATTATTTGAGTCCTCTCTCTTTTCTTCTTGGTTGGTCTAGGTAGTGCTTTATCCATTTTATCTCACCAAAAATCAGATTTTTTACTTTATTAATCCTTTGTATTTTTTCTTAGTTTCTATTTTATTTAGTTCTATTGTGATCTTTATTATTTGTTTTCCTTCTACTAATTTTGGGATTGGTTTATTCCTGCTTTTCTTGAGGTTGTGTATCATTAGGTTGTTTATTAGAAATCCTTCCACTTTCTTTGGTGTAGGTGCTTATTGCTATAAACTTTCCTCTTAGTGCTGCTTTTCCTGTATCGCATAGGTTTAGGTATGCTGTGTTTCCATTTTCCATTGTTTCAAAAATGTTTTTGATTTTCTTAATTTCTTTATTGACCTAATGATCATCCAGAAGCATGTTGTTTAATTTCCATGTATTTGCACAGTTTCCAAAGTTCCTGTTGTTGTTAACTTCTATTTTTTTCATTGCAGTCTGAGGAGATGCAAGATATGTTTGATTTTTAAAAAACAATTGTTGATACTTGTTTTGTGACCTAACAAATGGTCTATCCTGGATAATGTTCTATGTATAGTTGAGAAAAATGTGCATTACCCAGTTGTTGAATGAAATGTTCTGTAAACATCTGTTGGGTCCATTATGTCTGAAATACTATCTAAATCTGATGCCTTTGTTTTCTGTGCAAATGATCTTTCCAACGCTGAGAGCAGTGTTGAAGTCCCCAACTATTACTGTATAGGAGTCTATCTTTCTCTTTAGATCCAATAATATTTGCTTTATATATATATTACCTAGATACTCTGGTTTTGGGTGCTTGTATATTTAGAATTATTATATCCTCTTGCTGAATTGATCCTTTTGTAATTATATAATGATCATCTTTGTCTCTTTTTACAGTTTTTGATTTAAAGTGTGTTTTATCTGATATAAGAAAAGCTACCCCTGCTTCTTTTGGTTTCCATTTGCATGAAATCCCTTTTTCCATTCCTTCACTTGCAATCTAAATGTGTCTATCCAGGTGAAGTGAGTTTCTCGTAGGTAGCATATAGTTATTATTAATTTTAATCCATTCAACCAGTCTATATGTTTTCAGTGGAAAGTTCAATCCATTTGCATTCAAGGTTTTTATTGATAGAAATCATTCCTGTCATTTTATTAGTTGCTTTCTGGCTTTGGATACACTTTGTTCCATTATTCCCCTCTTATTATTTTTGCAGTTTGGTGGTTTTCTGTAGTGGTAATGTTGGACTTCTTTCTCTTTTTGATTTGTGTATCTGCTCTAGCAGTGAGTTTTATACTTTTATGTGTTTTCATGATGGTAGATATCATGTTCTGGCTTCCAGATGTAAGACTCCTTTAAGCATTTCTTGGAGGATTGGTCTTGTGATAATGAATTTCCTCAGTTTTTGCTTTTCTGAGAAATATTTCTCTTTTACTTTGGAATAATAGATTTTCTAGGTAGAGTATTCTTGGCTGCAGTTTTTTATTTTTCTTTCTTAACTTTGAATGTATCATCCCATTCTCTCCTGGCCTGTAAGATTTATATGGAGAAATCTCTGTTAGTTTGATGAGGAATTCCCTCATATGTGACTTTTCTCTTTCTTTTTAGAATTCTCACTCTGTCTTTTGACAATTTGACTATAATAAGCCTTAGAGAAGACCTTGTTGGGTTGAATCCATTTGGGGGGTTTTGAGCTTCTATTTGATGCTTACACCTTTTGTAAAAATTGAAAAGCTTTTAGCTATTACATGATTAAATAGGATTTCTATGCCATTGTCCAGCTCCTTTGGGAACTCCCTAAATTCTAATATTCATGGTGTCCCATATGTTAGGCAGACTTTTTTCACTGTTTTCTTTTTATTTTTTGTCTAACTGGGTTATTTAAAAAAAAAAAAAAAAAAAAAAAAAACCTGTCTTCAAGTTCAGAAGTTCTTTCTTCTGCTTGATTTTGTCTACTGTTAAAGCTTTCCATTTTTATTTTATTCATTAAATTCTTCAGCTCCAGGATTTCTGTTGATTCATTTTGATATATATATATATATATATAATATATGTTACATTTCTTATTGAGATTATGAATTTTTTCTGAATTCTTTGTATTTTTTTTTCTTTCATGTCTCACTGACTTTATTTTGAATTCTTTTTTGGGCATTTCATAGATTTCTTTTTTGTTAAGCTTTTTCTTTCTTTCTTTTTTTTTTTTTTTTTTTTTTTTTTTTGGTGACAGAGTCTCACTCTGTTGCCCAGGCTGGAGTGCAGTGGTGCAATCTCGGCTCACTGCAACTTCCACCTCCTGGGTTCAAGCAATTCTCCTGCCTCAGCCTCCTGAATAGCTGGGATTATAGGCACACACCACCACGCCTGGCTAATTTTTGTATTTTTAGTAGAGATGGGGTTTCACCACGTTGGTCAGGCTGGTCTTGAACTTCTGACCTCGTGATCCACCCGCCTCAGCCTTCCAAAGTGCTGGGATTACAGGCGTGAGCCACCACGCCTGACCTTGTTAAGCTCTTGTATGGTGAATTATTGTGTTCCTTTGGAGGTGTCAGGTTTTCTTGCTTTTTAACATTTCTTGAACTTACATTGTTATCTGCACATCTGGTGTAACAGTGGATTTTTCTTATTTTATGTCTTGGCTACCATAGGGAAAGATTTTTTCCTCTACATGCATCTATAGTGTTGATTGAGTAGGATGCTTTGGCTTTGATTCTGGGTAGGTGCAGTAGTGTGATCTCTATATGATTTCTTCAGTTTTAATTAGAATGAATGGTGTCTGCAAGTTATGCTGTCAGTGGCTTAGGCTGAAGTTGTTAGTGAAAGCTGTGGTGAGGCTTTGCTTGAGACAGGGATCCCAGTTGCACTAGTCTTCAAACACTTATAATCATGGCAGCAGGCTGGGTATGCATCTTCGGGTTCCTGGCAGCATATACCACCTCTGGTGGTAGTGAGTATGAGTGAGCTTCTCCTTAGGCCTCCAGGTGGTGTGCTTGGGTACTGATAGCTGACAGTGGCAGAGGTAGGCTTGGATGACAGAGGGTCCTCAAGCATCTGGGTGGCATGTGTGGTATCAGTGGTGGTAACAGGGGCAGTGAACCAATTCTTGGAACCCTGAGGGGCACACATAGGCACTGGTGGTGGTGGAGGCTGGCTGAGTGGACCAGTTCCCAGGCCCCCAAGTGGCACATGTGGGTGGGTGTCTGTGGTAGTTGCAGGCTGGGCAGGCCAGTCCCCAGATCCTTCAGGAGGCACATGCACGTGGTGGCAGCAGGCAAAAGGGGTCTATTCTCATGCCCCTGGAAGGCAAGTGCAGGTGCCAATGGTGGCAGGTGGGACAGGTCTATTCCCAGCCCCCTGTATAACAAGTGCAGGCAGTGGCAGGTGAGATGATGCTGTCCTCAGGCCTGCAATAGTGTATGCAGGCATTGACATCAGTGGGTGGGGCTGGGTGACCTTCTAGCTCATGGATAGTACAGATGGGCACTAGCAGGGGTGGTGATAGGCAGAGGAGATCCTCAGGTTTCAAAAGGACATCCAGCAGGGCCAGTCCCAAGACCCCTTGAAGGCATGTACAGGTGCACAACAGCTCTGCTACTGCAGGAGGCAGGGTTGTTATCAGTGGCACTGGCTTCAGGCAGTCAGTTCTGATGTTTTTGGAAGTGCCCACTTCAGTCTCCTTTGTCTCAGGGGCAGCCTTTCTGGCGTACCCTGCATTGCCTGTTTCCCAAGGAGTAGGGACATCATGTGTGATAGAGTTCTGAAGATCTAGATGCACCACTAGCTCCTCATGTCCACCCAGAAAACTGTGACACACAGGTTTCTGGGTGGACATGAAGGGATGGCAGTGGGGCTCCAGGAATGTGGAGATGCAGGGATTCTTGGGCCTCAGGGCAGGATATAGTCTGCTGAGAGCTGGGATCTCAAAATGGCATCATGCTACAGTTGCTTGGGTCTTTGGAGAGATGTGGGACCTAGTGTGGACTCCCTCTCTGGAACACTGCTGTTGCATGGTATCTCTCTATACTAGTTTCAGGACCTGCAAAACCTGAGGAGCTCTTCTGTAACTAGGATTGCAGGAGTCCCTGGTGGGAACATGAACTGCTGGGGATCTCTCACCTTTTCTCTGCACTGGGGAGTTTTTCCTGGCTCTGAACTGATCTCAGCTGGACTAGCTGCTTCACTTCTCTCTCCTTCCCTGCCTCAGAGCTCCAATATCACTTCCCTGCTGAGTTTCAGTGTTCTCACAAAGACGCTCCTTCAGTGTGGGATTATCTACCTGTTGCTTTGTCCTGTATTTTTTGTGGAGGAGGCAAATGCTGGGCATCTCCACACACAGCGATTTTTTTTTTATTTTTGAGATGGAGTCTTGCTCTGCCATCCAGGCTAGAGTGCAATGGCGTGATCACTGCAGCCTCCACCTCCTGAGTTCAAGCTACTCTCCAGCTTCGGCCTTCCCAGTAGCTGGGACTACAGGCGTGTACCACCACACCCAGCTAAATTTTTGTATTTTTAGTAGAGACAGGTTTCACCATGTTGGCCAGGCTGGGCTTGAACTCCTGATCTCAGGTGATCCACCTGCCTTGGCCTCCAAAAGTGCTAGGATTACAGGTGTGAGCCACCACGCATGGCCCACACAGCCATTTTGAAGGCCCCTCTAGCATTTCCTTTTTCCACCTTTATTAATGGCTCTCTCTATATACTTTGAGTATAAGGAAGAAATAGTTTTTTCCTACATTCTGTACAACTTGAGTATGTCAGAAAAATTAACAAGCAGGAAGCCTCCCTTATACTCAAAATGTGGAAGAAAGAGATACACAAAATGAGTGCATAGAATAAAACAGCCCTCAGTCCATGTCTAAAAGGTTTGGTGAGGGAGACCTCAAGTTAGCTGGAGAATGTCCTGAAGAGTACCTCTGTTTCTTAGGAATGTCAGACACATGCATTGCAGTAACAACTTCTTACACTTGTAAAAATCGTTATGAAAAAAAAAAAAGTTTGTTTCCAAAGGTTATATGGCAGATATTCCTCATTTACTTTACTGGCACTTTTCAATTTTGGCTCAAATCCTATTATTCAGGAGATATGAATTGGCCAGTGGGAACATTTCCAGCAACAATATTTTGGAATTAAAAACTAATTTAACCAAGATGACCCCTGGAAATTACCAGGCTCAGGTAGAAGGAAACACTGTGACATAAATGGCCATGTGTTATTCATTCCAAGGGGACCCGAGAAAAACTCTTCAATCATCTTTCATCATTTCAGCCACCTTTTTCATCACACCATATCTTCTAATGAGAAAGTCTTAAAAACTGTATATTGTAACCATGACTAATATATATGTGAGAATGAGACCAGGTACAGGAATACAAAAAAGCCATTTCCGAGTATCCGGATAAGAGGGGAATATGAACAGCTTGAAAAAATGTACAGTTTAACAAGCAATTATATAATTAAGATACTAGCTTAGGGAATAATTCAATACTTTCTTCCTTAACTTCGAATTTATAAATGTCTTTTACAGAGTATTGCAGTAGCAGCTTTAGCACTGAGAAGACCCATTCGTAAATGCCGGTTGTGCTCTTTATTACTTACATGACCTTGGGCAAGTCACTTGATACTTTTATCTGCAGTTTCCTCCTCTATAAAGTATTTAACAACATATTCAAGTCACCTAGTGTAGTACATGGCATGTTGTGTGTGCTCCATAAATGTTACTTCTCTTGCTTTATTTTAAAAATAGAGATGTGGCCTTCACATACTCTATCTTTTCAGGAAAAAGAAGGCCTTCTGTTAATGGTAGAGATTTCTGAGGCTAGGATTATTTCACGTTTCCCTTTTCTTTAATGACAATGTCGTTGACTGGAGTATGAGTTTTTTAGTGGATTCAGACAGAAGCCCACAGAGTAATTTCCCTTAGGTCTAGGCTTGACATGTGGGATTCACTGGAGTTTGTTTCTCTGTTTATTAGAAAGGGCCGGTTTCTGGGATGTCAATTTCAGACTAGCGGAAGTACTAACAGTTTCCTTCTGCTGCTGCAGATTAACCTTCAAATCCTGAAACCTTTAACATCAGGCTGCAAAAGCCATTCTACTAGGCAGCAGATTATTGCCTCTTTCATCTCGATTTAGCTCAGTGCACTTGCTCTGAGCACTGTCTCAAAGTTGGTAAGAATGTTAGCGGGAATGCCCCCAAACCAGGTATTTTTTAAAAACCTGGCCACAATGCCACATAGAGAAGTGAATCTCATTTTTAATGGATAAAGTAGTATTTGGCTCTTATTTTGAGGGTCATAAAAACACATTTTACTCACCATAGTCCATGTGCAAGGCACCAGGGTAGTTACCAAGGTGACTGCTCTCAAGAGAGAGATTAAGAAATGCAGAAGAAAAGAAATAATCCGAATGCACCCCATGGTTGACTCCACATACAAATGAAGTTGCCAAATGCCCAGGCCTCGCCTTCTGTTTGGTTATCGATGCACAAATGCAAAAATGAGGTAACATGAACGTGGGTGTGTAGCAGAAGTCAGTAAGCATTGACTGCAAGTATGCCCCTGTGTACTGTGTCAGCTGCAATTTGTATCAATTCTCTCCCCTCAACCTTGGGGTGACTCCCTTCTCCCTCACAGTCAGACATCTGAGATTCTTTGCCTTCTAAAAATGTCTCAGTCTGACACCTGTTAAATATTGAACATGCACCTAAGCAAAGGAAAGATTTCATCTAAGGCAAGTGCTTGATCATGGGGGCTAGGAGGCAAAGTGAGAAGAATACAACTCCACCTCAGCCACATTGACCTTCTTACTGGTCCTCTGAACACACTAAATGGATCCAGCCTCAGAACCTTTGTATCTGCTACTCCCTCTGCCCAGAAGGCTCTTCTCCAGGCTCTCTGCACAGCTGGCTCCTTCACTTAACTCAGGTCTTTGCTCAAATACCATTCATGAGGCCTAGATGAGGCAAGAATGTCTGGAAACATTTTTAGTTGTCACAAGGGGGAGTGGGGGAACAAACAGCATCTGGTGGCTAGAGGCTGAGGTTGCTGCTGAATATACTATGATACACAGGACTGTCCTGTGCAACAAAGAATTCTCCAGTCCAAAATGTCAAAAGTCCCATGGTTGAGAAACCCCACCCTAAACAATTCAAATATGGCTAGTCTCAGCTTACTTAAAAAAAAAAAAAAAAAAAAAAAAACTGACCAAAAGGATAATACTACCTGCTCTAACTCATTATCTTGTAGGGAGGATAGAAATTGATAATGTTCACATAAGTGTCTTGAAAAGTGTTTTATAAATGTTATTTTTCTTTTTAGCTCTTGATACTTCTTCAGATCATACAAGTAGGCTTAAAAGGCATTTATCATCTTACTCATTTACAATGGAATTATGATACTTTGACTTTAAAGAGGATCATTTTTCTAAAGAGAACATAGAGCTTCTTATCTATCAAAGCCTAGTTAGCAACCATTACTGTCCCTATTTTTGAGATTTAAAAAAATGGCAGAAGAAACATATGACCCTTTCTTCAAGGAGAAAAAAACGAAGTTATAGTTATTTCATTCATTGATTCAATGATTATTATGGAATGCTAATATGTGTAAAACACTAACAACAAAGTGAAACAATATTACCCTTCCTATATAATAGATAATGAGCTGAGTGTTCCTGTGTGTGGCTGGTGGCTACCATATCGGACAGTGGAGATTTAAGCATCTTCTATATGTTAGCAGTTTTTTTTTTTCAGGATTTCAATTTTTGAAAACTTCCAGCACGAACTGAAATCATAGTGATCTTTCAGGCTGCAATGACCTTGCAAAACTTGCTTTACCCCATAGCACTAGAATCCAACACCTAATCCCTTGGGTTCCGCCTTGGCTCAAATGCTGATATTTCAGTCTCAGCAACTGCTTTGCTTTCCTCAACATCTCATTAAATACCTGACATTCGGACTGTGACACCCAGGCACAGATGTGGGAAAGGAGCAAGTTTCTGTTTGAGGGGACTGGGACCAGACTGCCTGGTCTGTGGGTCCCGCTGATTCCTGAGTCACTGTCTACAGTTGTCCCTGAACGTGGCATAAGCAGGTGGTGTCTGATCAGTCAGGATTAATGATGCAAAAGGAAGCTGGCACCTCTTCAAAGACTTGCTCACAGAGGCCACAGGGAGTAGAGAAAGCAAATCCTTGGCCCTGGGTTCCGACCCTGATCCTGGGTTCTGTGTCCAGGTGTGCTCCTTGACCTCAGATGTTTCCATGAAACAGGCTTCTGTTAGTCTCCTTTCATAACTCACCCTAGTAAGGGATCTGAAACTCACAGTAGAAACATTTCTTCTTCTTCCCTAAAATCCTGTGGGGGCAGGTACTATTATTATCTCCCTCTTCTGATAGATGCAGATAAGAAAACCCCAGGGTCATGTAGATCAAGAGACATATAATAACAGATGTTTCAAATTAGGCACCCACGGGCTATTTTGGGCTGGCAGATGTAGTTTTTTTGGATCCACAAAGTGTATTCAATAAAAAATAAAGGAAAGCAAAAACTAAGACACTTAGATTATGAGTTTCTCTTGAAAAGTCATAAGATTTAGCAAGAAGGCCCAAATTCACACATTATTACAACTGGCTGAGCAGCCACTCACCTTTCCACAGGGTCAGGGACATCAAGTCCAAAATATCAATGACACAGACCCCTACCATCTCCCAGCCTTCCCCAATAACATAGACCTCTACCATCCCCCAACTTTCCCCAGGGCCTTTTTATCTACTTGTCACTAGCCAGTCCTTGTAGGTTTTTGAGTTTGTGGCCCTAGCTTAATGCATACCAATATTCTAGGTGAGATAATACTTACTTTTGTTATGGACCTTCTTTGTGCTTTTATACCGTATTAATTATACCAATCTTTACCCCAACATTATGGAGTCATACTATTACTGTGCTCTTGATTTGTCAGATGACAAAAACCAATGCCCTGAGAAATTCAGAAATATGTTCAAAACTGTGATAATGTAAAACGATTAGTGGATGGGTTGGAACTCGCTCCTGGAATCATCTTTCCATTACTTTATAGCACTCCTCCCACCAAATTCTCAGATATATTGTGACCTTTTACATAGTATTCTGTAGTTGTGGCCTTTGAAGGCAATAAGAGTGTTAATGCCTAATGGACATCTTAAGACCCATTGAGCACGTTCCTTAATCACCTAAGATTTAGCTTTTAGAGTTTTCTAGAGAAATTAAAAAAGAACAATTGATTTTCAGTAGTGGCAATTGCAAAGTAGGTAAAGCACCCAGCATTATCTCCAGAAGAGAGCAGGGTTTCAGAAAAACATTAATTCATTCCCCCACAAATCTAGTTAGCTAAAGAAGTTATTAGAACACTTACTATAACGGCCCATGTGCCATCTGGGGTAGCAGCCATGCAGTATGACTCTACCACCAGTGTCAAGGAAAGATCCCAGCTAAAAGCCATCAAGGTCATCTGATTTCCTTTGCACAGTGGCTGGTTCAGGTTGGGCATGTGAAATAAGTTGGTTTAATTAGAGTGAAGCCCAGGGTTTTTATTCAAGAAGAGACTGGGGAAAGACAAGCTCTATCATACTGTAGATATGTGGTATGCCAATGTAATGCCTGGAGCAGCTGCTGCCATTTTGCTATCATGAGTGAAAGCATTTGAGAAGAATCCAACGAAACAGAGCAATACAACTGAGGGAACTTCAGATGAATGGAATCAAAACTCCAATCAAAGCATCACTTCCTCTGAACTCTTCCATTACTTACCAGTCCATTACAGTCTGTCTAATCAAGGCAGAGCTGTTAGGTAGAGTTGAACATACTCATACAGGTAAGTTCAGAGAAATGACAGTCAGACAACCCTCAAGACCAAGGGAACATGCTCACTGGCACATTTCCCTACTGACTACTCAGAGTGTTTGTGACAGCAACTTGCCTTGCTGTTGCATCAGCCATCCCAGTCAGATGGTGAAGAAATGTAAGCCAAGACAGCTGGAGGGCTGATCTTCCACCCACAGGGGCTCCTCCCAGGGCAAGACAGCAGCTGTTGGTGTCTGCTTTGGTTTGAAATTGTAGCAACTGCATATATTCAGGTCAAAGCGGGTAACTTCTTTATGGAAAGTGTTGGAAGAACCAAGAGAGCAGATTCTGAAACTCGCTGTATCAGTCAGTAACCTGTGAATGGGTGATTTGTGTCAACAATGCCTTCTACCTCCTCTCTAAGAACAAAATTAAAGAAAGAAAGAAGAGGAAAGAAATCACTCCAAGACTTTTAGGAAAGCCAGGCCTGTTTCCTAAGTGCATTTGTATCTTCTTTCTTCTACTCTTCATTGTACTGGAACAAAAGGACAAATGCAGGGATTCTTGGAGTTGTGAGCATAGGTAAGATGCCACAGGGGTAGGAGCAAAATGGGTGAATACTCCCTAGGTCTTAGTGCTTTAAAGTCTAAGACAGGGGTCCCAAACTCAAATGCCTACAGAGGTTGGGCCCATGAGCTTAATGACTGAAGTGGGCACCCACATGGAAACTCAGAGAGAACAGACCCTGACAGGGCAGAGTTTCTCAGCTCCAGTTAAATATCTTTGATAAGAATCTTGAAATCTGGCCAGGTGTGGTGGCTCACACCTGTAATCCCAGCACTTTGGGAGGCCGAGGCGGCTGGATCACTTGAGGTCAGGAGTTCAAGACCAGCCTGGCCAACATGTTGAAACCCCGTCTCTACTAAAAGTACAAAAAAAATTAGCCAGACATGGTGGTGCGTGCCTGTAGTCGCAGCTACTCAGGAGGCTGAGGCAGGAGAATCGCTTGAACCTGGGAGGTGGAGGTTGCAGTGAGCCGAGATCATGTCACTGCACTCCAGCCTAGGTGACATAGCCAGACTGTCTCAGGAAAAAAATAAAAATAAATAAAGAATCTTGAATTATATTTTTTAATCTAAAAGTGTCTTAATGTTAAATTTTTGTATGTATACATATATCCCCTCCCAACACTGACAAGATCAAATAAAACATGAGAGTGGGCCGATTTGGCTCTCAGGTGAAAGACAATCAGAGGAGCTGGCTGAATTACCAGAAAGGACTAAGAGGTAGTAGGGTTTGGCTTCTAAAAATGGCAACTGAGCTGGGCACAGTGGCTCAGCCCTATAATCCCAGCACTTTGGGAGGCCAAGGTGAGTGGATCATCTGAGGTTGGGAGTTCGAGACCAACCTGGCCAACATGGCAAAACCCCGTCTCTACTAAAAATACAAAAATTAGCTAGGCGTAGCGGCTCACACCTGTAATCCCAGCCACTCAGGAGGCTGAGGCAGGAGAATTGCTTGAAACCATGAGGCGGAGGTTGCAGTGAGCTGAGATTGCACCATTGCACTCCAGCCTGGGAGACACAGCGAGACTCTGTCTCAAAAACAAAAAAAAGTCAACTGGAGAATGATTCAGCCAGATGTAGAAGGTGAATGGAGGGCCTGTTGTTTCCCCCAAACTGCTTAAACACAGACACCAAGCGACAGAATTGCTGAGTAGGATAGCTCCATGGATTCCTTTCAGGACTGAAAGCTCAACTCAGTAATCGCAAGAGGTCTCACAAAGATGCGTGTGGCTCAGAGTAGCCCAGGGGGAGCAGAGCCACCTGCACAGGTGCCTGATCTCAAAAGAACCTCATTGGTGGGGCATTAACGCCATCAGTGACTGCCCTTGAGGTCTGAGGCTGAGCTCAACTCCTGGCTGGGTGAAAGGAGCCCACTCGAATTTCTGATATAGGTCCCTTATCAATCTTAGTGACAGTACACTCAGAAATTACAGAAAGATAAGTAATGAAAATAAAGAAATTTGACTTGACATGAAGCAGCCATAACCATTGAAGTAGGAACCATTATTTCTACTTAACAGATGAGGTAAGGGCGAGAAATGCTATACAACACCCTACCCTTGACTCCAGCACCCAGCTCCCACTGACCAATGCTCCCCCTCTGATTGTTCTCCCAGGATTTCCCATTCCCCTCCCCACTCCTTCCATTCTTTATGATTTCCTGCACTGCCTAAATGGTGACGACAGTTTGATCCAGAGATTCCATGAGCATTTCATAAAAATATTATTTTTTCTCTACTGTTAACCATTCATGGAACCCACATTCCAGAGAATATTCTTGTAGAGATGCTGCATTTTGCACCTAATGACATAGAAAATAATAGATTGAAAGGAAAATTTTAGCTGCCCATTTTACCTTTTACCTCCATTACTATTAGTTCAAATCATTAAAACAAAATTCAGAAGAAGTGCCTATGACCTTGACATCACTTTTTTTTTTTTTTTTTTTGCTCAAATACTTTTAAGCTGTGTTGTCTATAAAAAACCAGGATGATTCTATTGTTGCCATCAAGGCAACAGCTCATGAGAGATGCCTGCAAAGTCCCTCATGAGACAGAAAGTCTCCTTAATAGAGGCCAAGTGCAGAGAACACTGCTACCAGCTACAAGTGTACTTAGCCAAGGAATACTTCCCTTTCCTTTTATATCTTCTGTCTAGAATAATTGAAATGAGATTGTTTGTGACTCAAATTGGTCAGATGACTCCTCATTATCTAAGAGTGGCCAGAAAAGTCATGGGGCCTGTCCTATGTTTATCCAAAGATGAGAAAAATGCTGAGTATAAGGAGTGGGTTCTATGGGTTATATTGTACTTGGAAGAATAACCTCACTGTCTGGTTGCATCTTGTGAGTCTCACTTGCTCAATGTACCGGATCTCCCAAAGTATTATATAAAAACATACATATCTAAACAAATACCATATTTTGTTGGTACCATTCTACTCAATGGGGCTCGACAATACTAAAGGATTCCTTAAACATAACAACAGAACATAGAAAGCACTGACTCTGAAATGCTCTTTCAAACTGCTTTTCAGTTCATTTAGCACTGACAACTGTATGGGTTTTCCTTTTTTTTTTTTTTTCTTTTTCTCTTGAAATTCACTGAATTAACGCTCTGTCTAAAATTGCTGTTGCTTGCAGTTCAAGGATATTGTGAGTTCCAACAAAGCTGCTTCTAGGCTCATAAAATATCTTTCTCTAAAGAAGAAATCCCTGCTGAGATCACAGCGCTAAGATCTATTTCAAGACAAACCTGTGACTTAGATGGGTAATATCAGCCAGACTGGAGGTGTATTTTTCAAGTGCAAGGATTTAGTTTACCTATCAGACACCTGATTAGGATTCCCAGAGTCATTGTTATAACTGAAGCAGCCTGGATGGGTTCCTCCCTCAGGTGACAATTTTCCTCTACAATGATCTTGCTGAAGAGGTTTGGGATTTACCATTCACTGTGTTCCAATTCCCTTGTGTGCAACATTTAGCTACGGAAGCATTATACTATGCCCTATTTTCTTGAAGGCATTTTTTCTTTTCTCCAGTTTCAGATATAATTCTTCTATGCCCTGATTTCACAATTTATTTCAAATGCTTCGCTTTAAAAGTCTTAAATTTTAAGTCTGTTATGGCCATGTTTAAAAAGAATGACTGTACTAGAATTTGGTCTTTCTAGCTGTTACAGGTAAAAAATAAAGATTATGGAATCTTTTATTTCTTTTAATTCACTCCCTCTCAGCTCCTCTGTCAAATTAATTCTGCTTCCACTTCGGCCGCTCTCACTTATGCACAGTCAGCTCCTTTCTGGAATGTCCTCTTTTCTCACTACTTTGTGGATTTTACTAATTTTTTCAGAGATTAACTGAAAACTCACTGTTTTACTTGGTTAAAAAGTAGACCCCCAGAACTGCACTGGAGGTTGCTGACAGGCCTGCAGGATCCCCACAAATCTCCATGCTATTCTCCTATACCCCCAGAAACAGCCATGTAGGGGACTACTTAGATGTTGTCCAGTTCTTGGCTTGGCTTAATGATAAGTTACATGGGAACCTAGGCTAGCCAAGCCTGCTCAGCATTAGTCATGAGGAAGAGGTCACAGCTGACTGTTACCCTCAGCCACGGCAAGTCAAAACAAAGCAGACAATTGCCTCCCTCCCTGATTTCTCACTCTGCAGCCCTGGGAAGCTTAACCTTCAAGCTCCAATGCACCCTGCTGCAAGGAATGTGCTGCCTGTCCTCCACATCTTTATTTTTCTCCTTTTCTTTCTGCCTTCCCTAGGTTTGGTCTCCTTCCCCTCCAAGTGCTTCATAGCTCCTCTTTTGGGACCCTGTCCTGATCCTCTAGTATTCTAATAGAATTCCTTGTAATGTGCTGAGTTGGGGGGCCTGAAACCATCAAAGAAATATACACTTCGGAAGAACTCTCCAGGAATTGTTTGCAGCTGTTGGTTTGTCTGGGGGTGTTTACTTGGTTAGCGGCAGGCTTGCTAGAAGTATTGGCTGGAAGTGTTGGCTTCGGGGAGAAAATAGGAATTACAAAGTATCTTGTCTCCTCCTTCCTATCTTTTGGCTAGACTGAGGTTCTCTTGGAGACAGGGGCTAAAGGAACAAAATGATAGAACCAGTCAGCAAAGATTTCTAAATAAGAGATGCACTGTGCTGTGGTCTATTTACAAAAAGGGACAGAATTGCAGATACTTTTTCTCTTCTGCATGAATCTCAGCTGGACTCTGACCTCCCCAACACCAGCAGCTTGGAAGGACCCATAGTCTGAACTGTCACTATGACAGAGCAGGGACAGTTGCAAATGGGTTTGTGGGGAGGGGAAGCCAGCTCAGGTAAGAAAGATTAGTCAGGGATAATGGTGGCTGCAGCTGAAAGACTGATTTGTGGGCACATGGGAGAGACCCTGTAATGGATAAAAAATAATGAATGGGTATCTTGGAGAATGGCTAACTTACAGTTATTAAAGCAGGGATAGTTTGTGCCAACATACTGTTGGTATAAAAGGGTAGAAGGGGACTTATTGAATAGTCAGAGGCTGGTGGAGCCTGGCATATTTTGCAGGTTAATGGTGCAGAAGAATAATGGCTAATAGCTATTATTTACTTAATGCTTATTATATGCCAGTCACTACATTAAAATCTTTCTCTACATGCATTAGCTCATTTAGTCTTTACAACAACCCTATGGAATTAGCATCATTATTATTGCCATTCTGTAGTCTGAAGACCAAGGCTTATAGCAGTTTATTTAATTTCCAAGGTCCAAGAACTAGGAAGTGCTGAACCACTGAGATCCAATGCACGTATATCAAGTTAATCCCATCCTAATATCATGGCAAAATAGGCCAAACTAACTCTGGCACTCACTGGGCATCCATCCTTCCTTATATCCTGGGTTATGTGGTTCTTTTTCTACCTGTTTCCCCAATTATCCTTTTAAGAATTCCAAATTAGAGCAGGCACATCTCTAGATTGGTTTCTGCTTCAATGGGGACCAAAATTAAATCTGTTTTCCTTTCAAACCCAGCTGGCTGCCTCTTTCTGTGACCAGCTGGAGCATCTCCAATCTCACTAAAGAGAGCTGTCGGCAAGCTTGGAGTGGCCCATGTTCAGGGCTCCCTGCCCTGCTGCTGGCAGATGCTTTGTCAAAGAAATGAGACAAGCTGCTATAGAAGCGCTAAGGAGTCAGTACAAGCTACCTACAGGAAAGGAGCGTCAGCAGCCAGGCCTCAGGTCCCAGGCCAGGAAGGGTACGCATAAGTGCATAGCACAGCCTAGAGTGCCTGGGTGAGATCCTGACACACGGTGCTTGCACAAGGCTGAATCACTCTGAGGAGTATCTGGGTTCATTAAATTCCAAAAAGACTATCCTACAGTTTTTCCATCTTTCACTATTGATATTTTGGGCTTGATAGTTCTTTTTCATGGGGACTGTCCTGTGGGTGTTTAGCAGCATCTCTGGCCTCTACCCAAAAATGCCAGCCATGCCAACCCCTACCCATGTTGGGATAAACAAAAACATCTATAGACAGGCCAAGTGTCTTGTGGGAGACAAAGTGCTCTCCCTCCCCCACTGGAGAAAATGAAGGGGCTGGGGAAAATTATCTTTTAATTTAGGATCCTTTCCTGAAATGCTATCTAACAGTGTCCAGAAAAAAAAAAAAACCCACACACAAAAAAACAGCTACAGTTGAAAACTGGTATCAAAGGTATTAAAATTCATCTAATTTATTTATCGGATAGGTTACTTCTTGACACATACAGCACTCAAGCCTTGTGGATATGATTCAAATACAATATAGATCATTTTTTCTCAAAAGGTGGTCAGTGGATTATCACTTCGATTGCTCCTTAAAACAGATTCCGTGGATCAATGCCAAATCGAATGAATCACCATATCCCCAGGGTGAAGCCTGAAATTCTGCATTTTAATAAAGTCCTTGGGTAATTCTTTTGTATATTAAAGTTTGAGAGCCACTGATACAGATGACACTCCCAAGGAGTTTACAATCTCTTTCAAAGAAAACAATTTATAAAAAACACACAGTAGTCCCCTCGTCTATGGTTCTTCTTTCTGTGGTTTCAGTTACCCACAGTCAATTGCAGTCCAAAAAGATTACATAGAAAATAACAGAAGTAAACAATTCATATGTTGTAAATTGTGTGCCATTCTGAGAAGCATGATGAAATTTCACAATGTCCCTCTCTATCCTGCATGAATCATCCCTTTGTCAGTGTATCCGCAGGCAATGCTGTTTGGTAAGTTAGGTGTATTGAATGCATTTTTAATTTATAATATTTGCAACGTATGATAGTTTTGTTGGGAGGTATCTCCATGGAAACTTGAGGAGCATCTGTATAGGGTTCAGTACTATCTGTGGTTTCAGGCATCTACTGGTGGCCTTGGAACTTATCTCCTGTGGATGAGATGGGAACATTGTATATCATTAAGTACAGGTGGTAAGTATTGCACAGTTGGTAAAATAAGAGGCAAACGGCTGAAATAGTCACTCAATTCTTTCGTGAGACTGGAGATGAAAATTCCTAGTTGTAATTATTCAATGTAGGCATTGGATAAATTAAGTACATTATGTTAGATAACATTTGAATTCTACCAGCTATTTTTTTTACTGTAGGCAAATTTATATACAGTGAAATACATAGATTATAACATTTTGATAAACATACACACTCATGAAACCACCATTTCAACTAATATTGTCACTTTCCAAAGTCTCCTCCTATCTCTTTTAGTCAATTCTTAATCCCATAGACAAACATTTCTCTTTTATCACATAGATTAGTTTTATCTGTACTTGAAATTCATATAAATTGAATCACACAGTATGTATTCTTTGGTGTCTTGTTTCTTTCACTCAGCATAGCATTTTAAAAAATTTATTTGTATCATGGCTGGGCATGGTGGCTTACTCCTGTAATCCCATCCAAGCACTTTGGGAGGCAGAAGCAGGCAGATCACCTGAGGTCAGGAGTTCGAGACCAGCCTGGTCAACATGGTGAAACCCCATTTCTGCTAAAAATACAAAAATTAGCCGGGTGTGGTGGCTCATGCCTGTAATCTCAGCTACTTGGGAGTCCAAGGCACAAGAATCGCTTGAACGTAGGAGGCAGAGGTTGCAGTAAGCTGAGATCATGCCACTGCACTCCAGACTGGGTTACAGAGTGAGACTCGGCCTCGAAAAGAAAAAAAAATTATCTGTGTCATTGTATATATTAGTTCTTTATTTTTTATTGGTGAGTAGGAATATACCAAAATGTATCCATTCTTCTGTTGATGAATATTTATTTCTATTTTTTCAGCTATTATGAAAAAGCTGCTGTAAATGCTCTTTTGAAAGCCCTTTTTGGATATATGTTTTCATTTCTTTTAGCTGCTGGGTCATAAGATCGGTATACATTTGGCTTTTTAAGAAAATTCCAAACAATTCTCCAACGTAGTTACGCTTTTTTACAGTCTCAGCAACAAGGTATGAGAGTTTCAGTTACTTCATATCCTCAACACTTGGTTTAGTCAATCTTTCCATTTTAGCTGTTCTAGTGTATGGAAAATTACCTAGTTGGTGTTTTAATTTGAATAACCCTAATGAGTAATGATGTTGAGGACATTTTCATGTGCTTAATTGGCCATTCATAAATCTTCTTTTGTGCAGTGTTTAAGTCTTTTGCCCTTTTAAAAATCACTGTCTTTTATTCTTGATTATACAAATCATTTATACATTATTGATATAAATTCGTTGTGTATGTATATTTTTTCTCTAAGTCTTTTGTGCCCTTTCATTTTCTTAATGGTGTCTTTTGATGAGAAGTTTTTATTTTGAGAAAGTCTAACTAATTTTTTTATGTTTAGTGCTTTTTTATGTCCTAAGAAATATTTGACTCTCAAACTTATAAAGATAATCTCTTTATGTTTTCTTCTAGCAGTTTAATAGTTTTAGCTTTTATATTTTAGTATATGAACTATTTCAGATTAATTTTTTGTATAGTGTAAGGTAGAGGTTGAAGTTCTTTTAAAATAAATTTCTTTTTCCTACACATTTGTAAAAATGCCTTATTTCCTCAAATCGAATGACCTTAGCACTCTCATAGAAAAATCAATTGACGGTATGTGTGTTGACTGTATATGTATGAGTCAATTTCTGGACTTTATATTTTGTCCTATTATTCAATTTATTAGTTCTTTTGCCAACATCATACCTATCTTAATTCTTTAGATTTGTACTAAATCTGGTAGTGTAAGTTCTTCAACATTTTTCTTTTTAAAAAATTATTTTGGCTATCTTAGTCCTCTGCATTTTTACATAAATTTCAGAAATAGTGTGTCATTTTCTTAAGCCTGTTTGGCACTGATCATGACGGCATTAACACTATAGATGAATGTGATGAGAAGTATCTTAAAAATATGGAATTTTCTGCTCAATGACTATGGTATACCTCTTTATTTAATTATGTCTTTTAATAGTTCTCTCCTAGAGAATAGTCTCTTCTCCATTCCATGTAAATCCTGCTGTATTTGTCTATTGTAATAATACTACCTATAGCCTAGCAATGGGTGAGAAGTCACCCAGCTAATGCTGCCTAGTTAAATCCCTTTATTCAAAATTTAAATTTGAACAGATGAATCCTTCAGATTCAACATCAAAAAAAAAGAAGGCTTAGGGATTTTGATTGAGCTCCCTAGAGGTGACCTAGCTTTTATACTTCTGTATACTTTAGTCATTAAGGTTTTCCTTCAGTTTAGTAAGTTACGCAGTACGTTTCCAAATATTTATTTAAGGAAACTGTTGCTTACAACCAAAAATCAGTAATGCAACATTTATCATTATTAGAGATGAACACAATTTGAGTAAAATTAGTCCTTATTATGATTGCTTTTGAGATCCTCTGTATTTGCTCATGTTCAAATGTTTTGTTACAGTACAAACTTGTATTAGCAAAAAAAGTCTTTTTGAGAAAAATTTGGAGCAAAAGAAATGATAGAAAAAAATTCTCAGTAAACTATCGCAAGGACAAAAAACCAAACACCACATGTTCTCACTCATAGGTGGGAATTGAACAATGAGAACACATGGACACAGGAAGGGGAACATCACACTCTGGGGACTGTGGTGGGGTGGGGGTAGGGGGGAGGGATAGCATTAGGAGATATAACTAATGCTAAATGACGAGTTAGTGGGTGCAGCACACCGGCATGGCACATGTATACATATGTAACTAAACTGCACATTGTGCACATCTACCCTAAAACTTAAAGTATAAAAAAAAAACTCAAAACATCAGCAACTTCATGAATTATGTAACAATCATTCATATTTAGACAAATAGCATATGGAATAATTCTTCTATTTTAATATCTTCTCACGTAATATCCCAGAAGTAAGCTGAGAAGCTAACGGTGAATATACAAGTATTTTTATATATAAATGTATCTTTCCTCTCATGTTCTCAAGAAATAAATGAATTTGAAGAAAGCTTGTTTACATCCAGAAAAAGGCTGTTTTACCATACAAGTGAACTTATTTTCCCAAGGCCCTTAGCAACCTAGCCTGGCATGGAAACATTGAATATAATGTATACATATTTCTCAGTAGAAGCTGATTACTGCAGAAACTGTGCCCCTTTCTATAATCAGCATATTTTCTAAGTTTATTAAACCAGTGTGAACTTTGGAGACTTGAGAACTAGCAGCATGAGAGGCCTCAGCTTAACTTGG
This sequence comes from Homo sapiens, assembly GCF_000001405.40. Classification (NCBI taxonomy): domain Eukaryota; kingdom Metazoa; phylum Chordata; class Mammalia; order Primates; family Hominidae; genus Homo; species Homo sapiens. Next base: position 156,469,902 of record NC_000005.10, on the reverse strand, counting down.
CCCATGTTTACGCATCTCTGAATGTGTTATTTGACAGATCTGTCCCTCATAGCATTTCTTCTCATAGCTGAGTCAAACCAAGTATTCATTACCAATAGCAGAGAACAATAGTACTTTCATTCCCAATCAAATCGATGGCGAGCTGTCATCTTACACCAACATATGAAAGAGCTAATCTCAAGTAAGAAACTAGCAATGACAGTGTGTTACCCTGGGGTTGTAGTGAGGACTAAATGACATAATACATATATAAGTCACTTGTAAGGAAGGTACTGGAAAAGATAAATGCGTATTAGCTATTGTATTTCTGCCCCATGGTGCAATTATTACCAGAATCATTAAGGAATGAGTTGTTTCACTTCAATTGATTTTCCAAAATACTAATATTCACTCCTTTAAATAAATATAAAAATCTGTTCTTCAGTATCTGGAAATCTTGCTAAAATATATTACTATGCATACTTGGGTAGCTCTTTAAATATGGTATACTAATTTTAGGGAATGATTTCTTAATAGCTTGGATTATCATAATAAGCAATCATAATACAGGCTATGGCAGATGCCCTCAAAATGTACGCTTTTGGACTGTTTAATAACACGATTTGTTAATCCTTTTGTGTCATGGATCTTTGAGAAGTGGATGGAAGCTATGGACTTCAACTCCAGAAAAATGCAAATATGGACTAAAAAAACTCTCAAAACAACAACAAAAAACACAAGCTTGGGTAGACACAGAGTTTCTAGAGGATTTATATGCTCTTCATGTGTCTCTAGGGGAATTCCAAGAACCCATGCCTTGCAATAAGCAAAGACAAGGAGAAAGACGTAAATAATATTTACAATATGTCAGGAACTTTGCACCATGCCAGACACTAGGCCAAAGTTTATCCACCTTATTATTATTATTTTTTGAGACACAATTTCACTCTGTCATCCAGGCTGGAGTGCAGTGGCGTCATCTCGGCTTACTGCAACCTCTGCCTCCCAGGTTCAAGCAATTCTCCTGCCTCAGTCTCCTGAGTAGTTGGGATTACGGGCATGTGCCATCACGCCTGGCTAGTTTTTTTATTATTAGTAGAGGCGGGGTTTCACCACATTGGCCAGGCTAGTCTGGAGCTCCTGACCTCAAGTGATCCACCCATCTTGGCCTCCCAAAGTGCTGGGATTACAGGCATGAGCCACCACACACAGCCACATTATTGTATTTAATATCCCCAACAGTCTTATGTGGTATGTTCTATTTGTATGCATTTTTCAAATGAGGAAATTCAAGATCAGACAAAGAAAACCTGTGCAGTATAAAACACCTAACAATTCAACGGGGATGATTCAAATTCTAGAGCCCACAGTTTTAGCACTTGTTCTTTTTAGGTTGTCCCTTCTCTGTTGTCATTTAACCCAGCAATAATTATTTCTACTTTTAGTAAATATTAAAATATAATGATTTACTGAGTACCTCTTTTATGTCAATCAATGATATAAGGACTTTACATGTAAAATCTCATGCAATCCTCTTAGTGGCCATAAACAATTTATAATCTTTTTTTTTTTTTTTTTTTTTGAGACAAGGTCTCACTCTTGTCACCCAAGCTAAAGTGCAGTAAAACAATCATAGCTCACTGTGGTCTCAAACTCCTGGGCTCATGTGATCCTCCCACCTTAGCCTCCCAAGTAGCTGAGACTATAGTCATGCACCACCATGCATATTTTAATTTTTGCAAAGATGGGGTCTCATTATGTTGCCCAGGCTTCTCTCAAACTCTTGGCCTCAAGAAATCCTCCCATCTTGGCTGCCTGAAGTGCTGGGATTACAGGCATGAGCCACAACACCTGGCCAATTTATAAATATTCTTAACCCCATTTTATAGTTATAAAAACTCAGACTTAAATCAGCTTCCTAACACTGCAGAGTGAGCAAGCAGCAAACTCTGAATTTACTTCTACAGGCTATGATCCTTCCCTTTCCTCCTACTTCTAATAGCCACCACAGTTCACATACACTTCCAACAAAGCTAGACATTTGTTCCTTAGTCCAAAGTTGATGTGAACTAAACTTCTGGCTTCCAGAGAATATGAACAGCAACCTATAGTCTATAAATACATATCTTTAATATATGGGCTCATGCCCACTTCTTTAGGGCCTCATAGTTCTTTGTACTGAAGGCTTAGTCTGTGGGAAGATTTGCCTGCCCTTCCAATTTAATTATATGTGTCTTTTCTCTTTAAGCAAGTGCTTGATCTGCCAAAGAAATCACAGGAAGCAGCTTTCTAGAGATTGAAAGTATTAATACAATGATAGTTGCAGAACATAGCTACATATGTCATCATGCTCCATCTCTGTTTATGGATTTATATAAATACACATATCACAACTCAAGAGAGATTGTTTGCATTTATTAGTGCTTTATTTTTCCATACAGGTGTTTCTGGGAACATTGAGGTAGAACCATAGAATTTTATTATCTTATGCTTGCTTTCTTTCTTTAGTGCAGTGAGAAAAAATGTGATGGTTTGTTCTAACCAGATGAATCCTGAATAACTGAGATTTTAACAAAATTCTCTTTTATTTGACTGTCTGGAATACTCCAAAATATATCAGGTATATCCTTTTCCCTTGAGGATATTTTATAGATAATTAAATGAATAAAACTAAAATTCTTTTCAATACTACCAAAAACGAAATTCTTAGTGTTAAGTTAGGAGCCAGAAAATAAGGCCTATGAATCAAATCCAGCCTGCTACTTGGTTTTGTAAATAAAGTTTTATTGGAACACAGCCTTCCCCATTTGTTCACACTTTGTCTATGGATGCTTTCACACTACATTAACAGAGTTGAGTAGCTGCAACAGAGACCATCTGGCCTGCAAAGCCTAAAATACCGTCTGGCCCTCTATGTTTATCAACCTTCAACATGTCTCCCATGTGCCAGTCACTGTGTTGAGTGATCGGCATACACTACAGGCCCTTTGTGGCTTTTGTGGGTCCTAGGCACTTTTGTCTTTGTGGCCTCTTTCTTCATTAAAAAAAATAAAAAATTGCATTTTATGACTACATTGGTATAAATCAAATGTATGTTAAAACATTTTCTTTGACTAGAAAGTTCTTTTTTTGGTATAATTTTCAAATAAAATACTTTTGTGGGGGATCTAAAAGTATTGTGGATACTGCACCTACTCTTCTTAATGGAGAAGTCAATCCTTCTACATCATAATGTTTCTCTGTCCCAGCAGTCACCCATTATTGAGATGTGGAAATCAAATTTTAAAGCATCTAAGTTATCCGTGCAAGCCCACACATCTAGTAAGAACCCAAATCCAGCTCTTGCCTGACTCTGGAAAGAGTGTGTACTCTTAATCACTTTCCCACACATTCTCTCTGACTTGCACTGTGCTGAAGTGACTGAGGGGAGAGTTGGGTAAATGAATCAAAACCTACCAGAAACAGAAGAAAAACTTTTTCATTAAGACATGAGGACCAATTGAACGCCCGATAGTCGTCATTATTCTTTAAGCTAGTAGGTAGTTTAATCAGTGTTTGTAACATGTTTTGAAAATAAATAGTTGTGTACAAGAGTTAAAAAAATTTATTTCTTGAAACATTTTACTCTCTAGAGTCTTTGTAGAAGCCTTTACCAAGAGAAGAGATGAAATGACTTCCCTTGTCACCTAATCCTCCCCTATAGTTCGCCAGTTAAGGAAACACTGAATTTTTATAGTTGCATCTATTCACTAAAATATATGACTTGGCGTTTTCACTCTCACAATATATTGAAAAATAATTTAAGCTGCCTTCCGGTGTTATCTACAACTTGTATATGACATTGCTGGCTGCAGAGAAAGCTTGGGAGGCTGCACAGAAATGAGAGATTTGAAAGATATTGTCCCAAAGGGGAAGGAATAAGTATATTGCTTTTTCTTTTCCAACACATACCAACTACGAACTTCTGAAACAAAAACAAAATGTCCATTAGCAAAGAAGTCTGATAGTCTCAAGTAATGAGTACAAGAGACTGCTAGCCTAGTAGAAAGTGCTGAGTCCTGTTGCTGCAAACAATAACCAATATCTGTGTGACATCACCTCAAGGGTCCCAGGAATTTCCTCCGGTGCCAAATCTCTATCCAACTTCCCTGACTGGTTTGTTTTTAGATAAAGGCTTTGAATTGATTCAATTGGAACGAGCCTGAAGGTAAGCCTCTGGAAGTGTGGGACAAGAGAAAGTTAACTTTTGATGTGGGTCAGAAAGAGACAAGAGCGGCAACAGTCTTGGAGATACAGAGCCAAGTGGGATGAAAGAGAGATGCTCTTGGAGGCGGCCTCCAGGGTAGAAGATCATGAATACCTAATGGTCTGGGGAGTGAGAGTTACCAAAGGAAACAAACTGTGCTGTGCGTTTGTACTTACGGAGATGTCTAAAAAGAAATTTTGCCAAGTTTACAATGTTCTCATGAACCTTACCAGAAGTAACTGTAGAACGTTGCCTAAAGATTTTATTTTCCCAAAGTTAACAAGGTATATCAATTCATTTCACTAGGATACAAAAGTTTTCTTCCTTATAGCTAGGAGGATCAGCAGCATCAGCACCACATGGCTCCACTCCAGACCTACAGAATTTTAATCTGTATTTTCACTGGCTCCCCAGTAATTCATACACACATGAAGGTTTGAGAACCACCATCTAAGAATACACCTAAGGTCCTTACCTGTAACAGGTAGGTAGGAGGTTTCCTGGAGGGAATCCTAGAGGATGTAACACTGATTCCCTCTGGTAATCACACACGCCCCTCCCTGAATCCCTCTGGTAATCATACACGCCCCTGGGTACAGCACTGTGGATGAGTGTCCAGTAACATCCAATTTATTTTCAAGCTGCAGCTGAGACAATGGAAAATTTGCTTCTAAGAGAGCTCAACGAATCTGAAGTGTGCAGAATGTCCTTATCCTAAGTAGCATTTTGGTTCAACTATAGAAAAATGCCGTAATGTTAAAGCCATAGAATGGTTGGAGTTTTGACTTTAAAAAAATCAATAGCAATATAAAAGCCTTTCAATTATTTGGGGGCTACAATACCTCTGCTACACTCCACCCACTCCTAAATGTCATTACGTTATTTGACAAACATAACACGGAACATTCATGAACTGTGGTGTATTGTGCAAGCCATGTTCGTTCAAGGGGAAGAGAAAGCATGAAGAGGAAGTTAAAGTACTATTCCCAGTTTTCTCCTAAAAGTGGGATTCGGTGAATCAAGCACCCTTTCTTACCATTGCTTTGATTTCAACAAGGGTCTCTAAGAACACTATGAAGAAACAGTTCCCTATATTTCTGTATATGTCTGTTCTGAAGATGTTCTCATATAAAATGGTGCCTAAGAACGTAGATTCAAGGCCGGGCATGGTGGCTCACACCTGCAATCCCAGCACTTTGGGAGGCCAAAGCAGGTGGATCACGAGGTCCAGAGTTCAAGACCAGCCTGGCCAACATGGTGAAACCCTGTCTCTATTAAATATACAAAAAATTAGTCAGGTATGGTGGTACATGCCTGTAATCCCAGCTACTCTGTAGGGTGAGGCAGGAGAATCAATTGAACCTGGGAGGCACAGGTTGCAGTAAGCTGAGATCACACCATTGCACTCCAGCCTGGGTGACAGGGTGAGACTCTTTCTCAAAAAAAAAAAAAAAAAAAAAATATGTAGATTCAAACCTAGATTCTTCCACTTACTAGTGGTGTGATTTGGGGGCAAGCTACATAATCTTTTCTAGTTTCAGTTTCCACATCTGTAAAATGGATATCATAATAGTGACTATTTCATAGGATTGTTGTGAGTTTTAAACAAGACAGTGCATACAAATCATTGAGCACGGTACTTGGCACATAGTAAATTTAGCTAAAATTTGTTTTTCATCATCATCATTAGCTGAGCAGCTTTGTTTTGTTCTGTTTTGTTTTAAGACAGGGTCTTGCTCTGTTACTCAGGCTAGAGTGCAGTGGCAGGATCATGGCTCACTATAGCCTCAACCTCCTGGGCTAAAGCAATCCTCCTGTCCATGCCTGGCTCATTTTTTTGATTTTTTGAGATATGAGGTCTTGCCATGTTGCCCAGGCTGGTCTAGAACTCCTGAGCTAAAGCAATCCTCCCGTCTGGGCCTCCCAAAGTGTTGGGATTACTAGCACGCACCACCGCACCTGGCCTTAGCTGGGCAGTTTTTATCACACCCATCTGGAGTGAAGTAAGTGAAGGAGACAGAACTTCAGTGACAAAGGCACAATCTTATGCTCTTGATATTAGGAGAACAAAGATCTACTCAGTTCTCCCTTTCTGTTCCTTTTAGCCATCCATACCTCAGAAAACACCACACTAATTTCAACAAAAAACATTCCCTCTTGAGATTAATTTATCCAAAAAAAGTATAGTTCAGGTAAAAAAAAATTGTGCCTCAAAGCCTAAATCCCATAGAACTTTATTACAAATTTATCAGTGCTTGAAAGCCAAGACTATACGTCTGCTCTCTAAAAGGGATTTCTTTGGGAAAAGTCAACACCTTTTTAAAAACTGCCATTAAGGCTGGGCACGGTGGCTCATGTCTGTAATCCCAGCACTTGGGGAGGCCAAGGAAGGCAGATCACAAGGTCAGGAGATCGAGACCATCCTGGCTAACACAGTGAAACCCCATCTCTCCTAAAAAAAATACAAAAAATTAGCCAGACGTGGTGGCCTGGGCGACAGTGTGAGACTCCGTCTCAAACAAACAAACAAACAAACAAACCAAAAAAACAAACTGCTGTTAATACACACTGTCTCTGATGTTTTCCAGAGTGGGCCACTCTTTCAAAGTGTCATTACAATCTTTCCAAATTGAGGGAAGAGTTTGAAAGAAGAGAGAGTTGGGTTTATTTCATGCTGAACTTTTCTCAAGAATAAGAAGCTCTTGATGAATCACAATATAATTCATCAGAATTCATATTAATTATAATTGTCTATTATTCATAAGTCTGCATAAGTTCATAGCCCATAAAATTATAGCCTTCTATAAAGGCTAAACTCATACAATTCTATTAGGGTGGTGCAAAAATAATTGCAGTTTTAGCCATTGAAAGTAATGGCCAAAACTGCAATTACTTTTGTACCAACCTAATGTAAATCCATAAAATTAAAGAAGACCATTATAGCCTTTCTGTTGAGAATTTCACTATGAGAATAAAGAAAAATCTGTATATTCTAAACACTTGTGTTTTATTCATAAAAGAATACTTTCCTCACTATTATTTCTATTGCTAGCCAGTCAAAATCCACTTAATCCTCTTCTATACATAATTCTAATAAGTTAGGTTATCTGATTTATAAGCACAGTGAAATGGATACTTTGTTAGAATTAAAGAGATCAAAATTGTATCTACCCACCCAAAATTTAGTAAATTAAGTCCTTTCCTTTCTTTGTGTCTTGATTTCTCCAATAGTTAAGTAAGAGTTATTAAACTAAGAAATATCTCTTTGGTTTCCTTCAGTTCTAAGGTTATATAATGTGAATTTCAGTAGAGTAGCATCTTAAGTAGGAATAGGTGTCAGAAGTCATAAGGTAGAAAAAAAATATACATGCACATAGTCTTGGTTAACTTTGGAATTTTAAATCATTGTTCCTTCAAGCCAGAAGCTGGGTTGTTAGAAACATAACATTTCACAGTTAGCTTTTATTGTTATTGTCATCTGGCTGTGGATTCCTGGGCCATGGAACTAAAAGGCCAAGGCCTCATTTGAACAAGAGGAAAAGCACAGATATTTATTTTCCTCTTTTCACTCCCACCTCCCATCCATTTCTTTTGTCCTCTGAGTCATTATATAATTGAACTTCAGTACATAAAATTTAGTGTTACTGTTGTATAAACAGCTTTTCACATATTTCTTCCTTCACTCATACTTCTTCCTCTGGCCTAAATCTCTAATATTTGTAAGAACTATGCAGGTAGGAAGCTCAAGGTCTCAAGGTACAATTAGGGTCCAAACTTTTTTGATTTAATATACAGCACTAGAGGCAATGCAGAATTTATTTTCCAGGAAGGAAGGAAAGAAACCTGGTCAGTCACAAAGGATATTTTCAGAGGAAGAAAGTCAAATGAGTAAGTGTGAGATTTCTACTTCATATCTCCCTCCTAAGTAGAACCTAAAGGCTTATTGCTCCTTGAGTAAATATGAGTGACTTGGGATTTAATTATGTGAAGTAAAATTATCAACATTAACTCCAGAGTAGAGTCCTTATCTTTCCTGATAAGTAAAAAGGGAAAGGACCCGAGAAAAAAAGAGTGAAAATCCATGGCAAAAATGAATTTATTAACAATATTTTATATATGAAAACTAATTTATAGCCTGAAAGGTTTTTCCCCCTAAGAAAATTATATTTCATTATAGCTATCTTTAATACAAAATTAAAATTGTTTCATTTTATCCGCTTGTTTGTCACATTAAATTTACTCTCATTTCATAGTAATAAAGTTCTCCTCATTTTCTTTCTTCCAGAATTTCTGGTAATGTTATCCTGTTACAGAAACTCCTTTGAGTATATGATGGGTTTTTTGACATTTGTTAACTCAACAGGAAAGACCAAGTACATCAAATAGCCTAATTATATATCTTTTATAAACTATTAAAAAACAATATGCTTTTATAATAAGAATGCAATACACATCTTATACCACATATTCTGACATTTTTACATGCTTTTTAGAATTGACATTACAAAGGGGAAGAGTTGCTGTAAGAAATGAAAAGTCTGGACATAGGCACAGACTCACATTGAAAGGTACTCCTGGTTTAAGAAAAGCCTAGCAAAAGAAAACGGTTTTGTGTGAGCAGCTTCTAAAGTATGCCCTGGAACCACTTTCTCTATGAGCTATTCTGGAAATAAAAATCTCTACTATATCTGTCTATATTTACACACATATTTAATTAATTTCATTATTTCTGTGGCCAAATCATTTTGGGAAATGTTGTGTATTCTATTAACTTCTTGAAGAATGACAAGGCATAGCCACCTGTTCAAGGTTCCAAGAAGCCTGCAGTAAAATGTGATCTGTTTAACTTCACCTCAGTGTTTTGAAAACTTATTTGGTTAGGGAACTCCTTTTTGTGAACCATCTTTTAACATCCTGTAGATGCTGTTATACTGTATCTCTTAATTTAAGACTCTGGGGTTGTGGTATACTAGAGTGAGTCACCCCTTAACTATCTCAGGCTATGAAATAAATGAGCTGAGGGTAACAGGCCCCAGATTATCATTCATTCATTCAGTCAGTCAGTCAGTCACTAACTCATTCATACAACAACATTGATAACCAGACACAATATTTAAGACTGCTCATGCTGGATCCATCACTGTCTGGTCTCTCTGTCTGTGGCATGCCTAACTGGGACCTTTCCCATTCTTCAAAGTTCTGGTCAAATCCCATTTCCTTTATGAATTCTATTGCAGTGCCTATTATCCAGTGGATCTTTCCCATCTTTGAACTCCAAAAGCATTAGCATATGCACAATTATGATAATGATTTCCAGATCTTGATTTCATGTCTAAAATTTTAAACCTTTAAAAGGCAGGGCTATATTTTATTTATTTCAGACTCAAAGACTTAATGTGGTTTTGGTCAAATAAATCATTGTTCAGTTGATATAAGCAGCAACACTGTCCTCTCTGGCTTTATAAATTACATCATCCTAGACTGCCCACAGTTGAGGGTAGTTGTCCCCCTCCTTGAAATGCAGCAATCAATACTACATTTTCTAGTCTCTATTTATAAACAGGAAATTAACTGCCTTCCATCATTGTTCTAATTGACCTTCAGCTCAGGTTTGAAAGGAAAGACCTCAGCCAAACAGAAGCTTTATTGATGGTATCAATCCATTAGTGATGCCTTTGCTTTCATTATAGCGGTGCCATATGCAATAAAGACACATATTTGAATAGTCTGGGTGGAAAGGAGGAGGGGTTATCTAAAGAAGATTTCCCTGTAAATGAGCATGAAATCTTTCAGCCAATACTTACCTCTTCCTTGTTCAAACCCCCAGGGAACATAAAAAAGAAATCCTAGCTAATCTGTAGAAGGAAACAGGAGGTAAATGCATGCTGTCCAGCTGAACCTATGACTTTACACATCAGTTTAGTTAAACCTTGAAAATCGCCTCACTGAAAACAGTTAAGTCAAGATGCTAATTGGCCTTTTCTAATTTTCAATGCAATGATGGTATGTTAAATGGATTAGATACTCTTCTTTAAATCATCAAGCACTTATCAAAGCGCTAATAAATATTTACTACAATTCTTTAAAACATGAGAGAAGACATGGGAAGCAAAGAAAGGGCTCTTCATTTCTTCCTGTGTAAGATGTGGCCACTGAGCTATTTCTGAGTCCCAGAAAAACAAAACAATTCCTCCAAGACACAGGCAAAATGGGAAATAGTTGCCAAACCGTTGACTCTCATTTTCTTAAATTAAGAGACTGTTTTTAACAAATCATTCAAGTGATTCTCATGCACACAGAAGTTTGAAAAGTCCTGTTTTAAGGATTTAATGACTGGGATAGTAAGAGAGACTATTAACTCTCCACTTAGACTACAAGCTTTCTTCTAGAACATTGAACATTGAGTGCAGTGAACCTGTTTATCTAATGTCCATCTGTCTCAGCACTCAGAATAGTGTAAGCCACATAGTATACACACAATTATGTACTTATAAAGTGGAGGTTGGGAACAAAGGGAGAAGACAAAGACAGGAGGGAAAGAGAAAGGGCAAAAAAGTACTTTATTCAGGGTGCTTGGACTCAGGTGATTTTTTTTCCCTTCACTTTGGCATCTAATCAAGAGATCCTGCACTCTTAGATGGTTTCTGTTGAATGAAAAATAAGATAATTACAATATTCTTTGAAAGGGCTTTATTTTATTCATGATTCAGGTTAAATTCCTTTAAAAAAGAAACCTATCTTTAGCCTCTAAAAAAATCCCTGTTAAAATTGGCATCTTTCAAAGAGTTTCAAGTTTTGAGGGAAAAGAAGAAATTAAAATCCACTGAAGACTCACCATGTTCTAGTCACTTGTTTAAACACTTAACAAAGGCTCTCCCATGTGATTCTCATCATGCTCTTGAAATTCAAGCATCATAGTCCCTGTATTTCAGGTGGATGATCGTGATGTTGGTGATGATGATCATGAGTGAGCTCTTAACAAGGTAACTTGTGTTTATCCTTAACATAGACTATCTCATTTAATTCTTACAATATCTGCATGAATATTGTATTTTTTTCATTTTTACAAATAAAAATCTGAGGTTTAGAGATGTTAATCAAGGTGCTGAATTTTGACATATGCGGTTTGAGGGAAAGAATCACTGGTGTGTCTATTCTGGTTTGTTGTAGGTTAACGAAGCCCTTGTCATTTGCTGACTGTGTTGGGGATGAGCTGCCATGGGGATGGGAATCAGGGTTTGACCCTCAGATTGGTGTCTACTACATCGATCACATCAACAGTAAGTTTTCCTTTTTGGTAAAAGCAAACATATCAGAAAAGTAATCCCCCAAAACCTACAGTCACGCAAAAGAATAAACATGTTACAAAGTGAATTTCCAAAACCCCATTTTCTTAGTGACTAATATTTAACTGAAATGCCTGTCTTGGTATTTGGGGCATGTACATAGAGTTGTCCTTATGGGGACGGAGAGGGAGAAAGTGTGTCTGGCCTGTGTGCCTGCCTGCCTGCCTGCTGGGGAATGAGGATTCTCCTTCAGCACAGGTCTGGGAACCTGTGGGGATCAGAGCTGCTGGGCTCCTCTTTCCATGGCCACTGCACCTTCTGACAGGCTCTTCCTTTCCTTGTGTTTGCCACAGAAAGACTTGGGCGTTGGCACAGTGTGGTTTGTAGGCTGGGACTGGGGAGGGGTTGGCCCACATCAGTGGCTCTGGAAGACATAGCATAGCTGGGAAAGGTCCTAAACCGCCCAAAGTCACTCAGCTAGGTTATAGAAAGGCCTGGACTGGACTCCAGGTCTCTTGGACACCATCACTTGCATACACATATCCCAAATAAGAAAACAAGTTAGAGGAGTTAAATAGTCTCAGAATTCCCAAGCTCTCAAACAGGGACTAGAACACATGTCTCCCAACCAACTGTGAAGTAGGGCATGAGAGACATTTACATTTTTCTGTCCTTACTATGAGCGGCATAGGGAAAGGATTCAGCTTTCATATCTTCTCAGATTACTGTGTTTGCCCCAGGGTCAGATATTACTGGGCAGGGGTCTTGAAGCAAAGGCAGAAATAACAGTGGAGAGAATTTTATTTGCTTCTATGTTTTCCTGAATGTGAGCCAAAACAATAGTATAAATTTGGTGCTTCACTAAATATCCCCAAATATCTAAAGCCACCATTCAGGGATGGAATATTTGATACATTTTTGAATGGATGTGTCAAATACTTACTGTTTTGTGCTTTTTATGGAAATGACTCTGGTTTAAGCATTTAACTTTTGGAAGTTGTAAAGGTTATAAAAGAAATTTAAATTCCTGTGAACAACTACTACATATTCAATCAGCGAATGTCAAGTTGCCCTTTTATATATGTCAGAAATTATTTTAGAGGATCAAAGGCATAGCAAGAGTGACCAACTTGAAGAATGAAAGCAAGTTTTTAAAAAATGCTATTTTAGAAATATTTGTATTTTTAAAGAAAATAAGGTGTCTCTGCTGAAACCCTTACTATTTTGAAGAAATACAGCTTCTGAATGGAGTACAATAAACAAAGATTTTCACACATGGGAAAGCAAATAAGAAAGTTAGCATAAAAATGTGGTTTTGGTTTCTGTTCTAGTAAAATGTAAATAACTGAAGAATGCTACAACTTCAGAAACTAAAAATATTTCCTTAGGCAAATGCTCCAATCAAGCCATGTTCACTGAGACCAAGTTACTTTTGGTTTAATGTGATTTTTTTACTACAATACAGAAAAATAAAATTTTGTCTATATTCTAACCCACAAACCATTTATAATTACTAAATGTGTTTTAATTCAAAACTTGAATGAATGAATGAAACCTGCCAAGTGTATTAGATTCTTAAGGCTCCTGTAACAAAATACCTACAACTTGTGGCCTTAAAACAATGGAAATTTATAATCTTATGGTTGTGGAGACTAGAAGTCAGAAATTAAGGCGTCAACAAAACCACAATCCCTCTAAAGCCTGGAGGAGAGAAACTTTCCTCAGCTCTTCCAGCTTCTGGTAATCCCAGAGATTTTTTTTGCTTAACAATTCATTCCTCAATTTATCTCTGTTCTTTTGCACTTTGCTATAGGCAGCAAGGAGACACCAGGCTGAGACTTCTAAACTCTTTCTTAGAAATCTCTTCACCTTCATAGCTTACAAGTTTTACTTTCCTCCCAACAGCAGAACATAATTCAGCTAAATTCTCTGACACTTTACAACAAGGATGGTCTTAACTCGTGTCCAATAGCACGCTCCTTGTTTTGGTTTAAGACCTTGCCAGAAGCACCTTTATTATTCACATCTCTAGTAACATCTGTTCATGATGATACACATATTCTCTAAGAGGAAAGATGCTGTCTCTTCAGCTCTCCTCTCTTTCTGAGCCCTCACCAGAATCGCCTTAAACATGTACACATCTACCAACATTCAAGGAGGCTTTTCCTATCAAGTGCCACAAACTCTCCTAGCCTCCATCCGTTATCCCATTCCAAAGCTACCTCCCCATTTTTAGATATTTGTTACAGCAGTCCCCTATTTCCTGGTACCAAACTGCACTAGTTTTCTAAGATGGTCATAGCAGAGTAATACAAACTGGGTAGCTCGAAACAACAGAAATGGATTCTTTCACAGTTTTGGGGACTGGAGGTCTGAAATCAAGGTGTCAGCAGGACCATGCTCCCTCTGAGACTTCTCCCTCGCTTCTGGCCATGGTCCTCAATCCTTGGCATTCCCGGCCTATAGCTGCATCAGTCTAATCTCTGCCTCTGTTGTCATGCAGCATTCTCCCCATTTGTTTCTGTCTTCACGTGGCATTTTTCTTATAATGACACCAGTCATATTGGATTAGGGCCCATCTCATCTTAACTTGATTATATCTGCAAAGATTCTATTTCCAAAAAAGGTCACATTTCAGCCACCTGGAGTTAGGACTTTGATACATTTTTTAAAATAAAAATCAAGCCTTCAATCACTGTAATAGCCTATCAAGAAGCTGGACAGGAGAAAGTGCTGGTTCCCCAGTGTTTCATTCTTCCTCTATGCAAGGCTCCAGGCAAGGGTCAGGTGGTCAGCAGAGGCTTGAGAATCACCTTTCCTACCGAAGGAGGCTCCAAAAATGCCCCTGTCATGTTATGGACACAGGGGCCAAGGGAAGGAGAGAGGGTAGGAATAGGAGTGGAAAAGTACTGAGTACTAAGCCACAGTGAAAAAAAAAAAAAGTCTTTGAAATTTCTCCCCTTTTCCCATTAAGAAGCCCTCAGCAAAGGTACCTGGGGAAGATATTATCCCAGGAGGGCCCTGCTAAAGAGGTCTCTGAATGAAGGCATCTGTGCTAGGAATGCAGACATGAGTAGGAACACAAGTAGCCAGGGACCCTGCGTCCTTGACTGCAACTGCCTTCAGAGACTGCCATACACTGGCTATGCCCCAACCATGGTGTGGGCAGGGCAGCTTTCCTCCATGAGTCCTATCATGTAAAGCTGTTGTAATTGCCTAAGGACTTTGGTATATCTTTATGCAGGACATAATTCAACCCTAACAATAAAAAAAGTATGCCAAGTATCTATTTATTGCTTATCAACTCCAGAGTCACCATTCAATATGTGCTGTGCTTTTAAATAATGGTCAGTTTCTTTAAGCGTCCTTTCTTTACAAGGAAGATGATGTTGAACTCTCTCCTGAAGGCACATTGCAGAAGGGAGGTTCTTCTTGTCGTCTTTTCCTGATGCACAGTGTATCAGCATTGCAGGTATGAGGACTTCCAGTGGAGTTCTGACCCAGCCACATGTCCAGAGCACACAGTTCCTCAGCAACATTACAACCTTTGCTTTGCCTGACAATAACCTAGAAGCAGTTTTCTTGACAGGCACATCACAAGCTCCAGCACTCCTGACCTCAAATCAGAGCCTTCATTCCATCTTCAAGTCCACACTCAACTCTCCTGCAGCCAGGATCATCACCACTCTTGCCACCATGCCAATGCTCTCTCTGTAGAACCATGCCTGGCTCACCTGCACCCCATGAACTCTTCCTTTTGTATACTCCCACCACCAGTTGATAATTGCCTATATCCTGTATGTACTCCAGAGGATTTCTTGCTGCTTGGCCAATGACTGAAGAGCATCTCCTATCTGTACAAACAAGCAAACTTCTTTGCTATTCAATGAGCTGAATTCACCACATTGTCTCCAACAAAGTATAAATCCAAATCTTGGGGAGAAGTTTCCCTTCTAGTTTAGCCTTCCTTGGGTAATCTCTCACAGCCCCGGGGTACTATGGAAAGTTTCCTTATGTCTTCTTGTTACTCTTTCATCAGAATTTAATAGCTATTTTTACTAAACTTTCCTTCTTTAACTTATTGTGTGGTTTCTATCTCATGATTGGACCCTCACTGATATAACAAGGTTTTATACAGACTTTTTTCTCTGTCCACTGGATTGGTAACACAATGGACCTAAATAAAATATCTTGGAGTTGAGAAACAAAACAGAACATTTTGAGTGCAGTCCTTTCCAATGCAGATATCCTTCCTTTAAAGATTAATTTGAGGTCTGACTTATACATAATCAAGCACACTTTTTTAAAAAAGTATGCAATGCAATGAGTTTTGACAGTTGTACAGACCTGTGAAAGCCCCACCACAACTAAGATACAGAACACTTCTAACTCCAACAGATTCTTCATGACCCTTTGCAATACATTCTCTCCCATCACCATTGGCCCCAAGCAACTGCTGGTCTGTTTTCTCTTATCGTAGATTAGTTTTCATGTTCTAGAATTTTGTACAAATAAAGTTATACTCTTCTATGTCTGGCTTCTTTCATGAAGTGTAATGGTGTGGAGATTAATCCATGGTCTTGCATGTATCAGCAGTTTGCTGACCAATTCCATTGTATGGATGTACCAGAGTTTTTGTTTGTTTGTTTGTTTTTTATTCCAGGGATTTTCAACCTTGGCACTATTGCCATTTGAGCCAGACAATTCTCTGTTGTCCTGTGTATTGTATATTTAGCAGCATCCTTGGTCTCTAACTACTTTGAGAGTACCGCCCTTCCCAATTTTGACAAATAAAAATATCTCCAGATATTGTAAAATGTCCCCTCAGAGAGCAAAACCACCCCTGGTTGAGCATCACTGGTTTATCCACCCACCTACTGGGGTACATTTAGGTTGTTTCCAGTTTGGGGCTATTGTGAATGCAGCTACTATGAACATTCATGTTTACATGTAACACTTGCTTTCACAGCATCCATGGTATATAATTTTCCAGCCCCTAATTGAATACTTGTGATGGTGGGGGTGCTCACTACCTTGTAAAACAGCTAGTTCTGTAACTGAACCTTATAATATAGTTCCCTTTATGTTTTCTACATAAAGAAGAAATTGTCCATTTGCTCTACACTAGCGGGACAAGTCAATCCTGTTTCCTCTTCCATGTGACAGTGCTTCAAATGTCATATTATCTTATTTCTCCTCTAATATTTTTCCCTTTCAGAATAAAAATCCTTAGTTTCTTCAGCCTTCCTTCATACATCACAGTTTCTAAGTTCATGCTATTCTATTTGTCTTCTCTAGGACACATGTCATCTGGCAATGACATTTTTAGAATACAATATTCAAAACTGAATCAAATATTATCTAATAGTAGACAAAAGATGAATGTTTATAATCATTGAGTAAAACTATTCTACCTAATGTAGCTTAAGATTCGGCTGGGTCATAGTAAATTTATGCTCAAGTCACTCTATCTCCAATCATTTTTATGGAAATTCCTATTAATTAGGGTCTTTTCTTTATTCCATTCTTGTGCAACTATTTGGGAGATAGCACAAATATAATATCTCACATTTATCTACATTACCTTTCATTTTATTGACATGAGCCATCATTCCAGCATGTCAGGGTTAATTTGAATCTTTACTGTATCATTCACCGTGGAATCTTAGCTTTATGGCATTCAGAAATTTATTAAAAGTAATTTCTAACTCCTATGTTTTAAAATAAATGTTAGGAAAGAAAATCCAAGGACCCTGTTGGCTTTCATTCATTTGGCATGCATCTATTAGGTGTATTCTAAAAAACTTGGTGGCTATAAAAGGGAAAGCTGTTATGAGGGTTACCTAAGAAGAAATATTTTGTTTCTGCACAATTTGGATTTCTTTGTATGTGTAACCTAAGGAGGGTACTTTGTTTCTTCTTTGCAAAAACTTTGGGATCTGAAAAGCCTATTAAGTGTGGTTGTATAATCTTAGAAAAGGGAAGAAAGCAAAAGGAGAATGTGGTCAGAGAGAAATGCAGAGAGCTGCAGCTTGCATTATCCAAAGAAAAATGTGGGAAAAGAAATAAACTCTTCAGAAAAACTTAGTGAGAGACTATACCTAGAGCATAATTTTTGAAAAACTACAAGGTCCATGAGCTCTCTGCAATGAGGATGAAAAATCGTGGTAAGAATAAGCAGTGATTGGAAGTGAGATGAGCATGAAAATTGGGCAGTGGAAATGCAGCTGAAGCACGGTGGGTATGGTTGACTCAGGAGGTCAAGGGAAGCTACTACAACTACATGGGGTGACCAGCACAGGCTCAAGAGTAAGACTGCCTGGAATGGATTGCCTGCCATGCCCTAAGTCAACTGTGTGACCATGGGCAAGGGAAGTAGCTTCTCTCTGCCTCAGTTTTCTCTCCTGTAAATAGCAATAATACTAATACCTGTATCATACGGTTGCTGGAAGAATCAATGAGCTAAGTTATATAGAGTCTTGAGCAGTATCTGGCACAGAACGACAGCTCAACAAAGGCCAATGGCTTTGTTATCTAACATGGAACCAGGTAGAAATATTTTCATTATTCATTAGCTAAGTATGTCAATAACTTCTCAGTGCAGACAGAATGAAGTGTAAGTAATTGCCTGTACCATATTGTAGTTTGATATTCTTCTACTGCACATCAGGTTAACTATTTAGCAAACTCAGCAGTTCACTGAGTAAGGATTTAGCAAATATTTCATAACTTTTGTCTTCTTGGTAAAACCTTTAGTTATCAAAACTTCTCCAGGCTTGGTAGCAAATCAGTGCTGGAGGGCAGATTTCTCTGTGCCCATAGCAATTTCAAGGCTATCATCTCTACTTTTATGATTCCATTCTTCCAAGACTGCTCCATCATTGCCTAATGGACTCCGATGGGAAGTTTTGTCAAGATTTTGGTATCTGGAGTAGACAGATCAACACTTCTTTAAAAATTCCTTAACAGGACACATCCTGGGGACTGTCTGAACATAATATCTATTAAACATACTCTTATCAACACCACAGGGACCTTCCTGCTTGTTGAAATCTATGCATTAATCAAGGTCCTTTGGGTATGACTGTTCAGCCAGCCATGAACTCACCTAATTATGCTGCCAACCAGACTATATTTCTCCATCTTGTCCACAAGTATGTAATAAGAGACATTGTTAAATGCCTCACTGAACCCAGACCCACACATCTATGGCATTAAACTGATCTACTAATCAAACCCATCAATTTTTAGTTGAAAAAGGCTGCTGGAAAATAGTATGGTGAAAGAGGGAAGGGAAGGGAGGGGAGGGGAGGAGAGGCAAGGGGAGGGGAAGGGAAGGGAGGGGAGAGATGGAAGAAAGGAAAAAAGAAAGTACATGGACTGTCCAATCTGTCTGCCCATCCCTGGATAAACAGAAAATAAAACCCTTCTTTCAGGAATTATTGGAGTCTGCATACATTTTATTCATTTATTTTTTTGCTCTTTTTTTTGAAATTTTCTATAATGTCTATATTACCTTAATATAAAAAGAAAGTACTTTTCAAATGATATATACGCATACATGCACATACATACAAACACACACGCTGATTTAATTTGTTTCTATGTTAAGTTCCAGCTACCTCCTCTTAATTAGTTTTCATTTAAAAAGCAATTGAAATTCTACACAATATTTATTATGATTTGAAAATGAATGCCAGTGTTTTGTTGGCAATAGGATTCCACAACTCCCACCATAACAATAGAAAACAATTAGAATACTGTTTATTGAATCTCTTAATCTGGAACACAAAAAATCCTTCCAAATTAGATACATAGTTAATCTAACTTTTTTTTCTTTTCTTTTTTTTTTTTTAATGAATGTCTCAGCTTACTGTATGCAATTCTTGTTCTGGTTTATTTACATTTGCTAGAAAAATGTAGAGTGACTTTAGATGACTTTTAAATGCAGCTTTAAGAACTCTCTTTCTGAACCAAATTCCTGCCTTTGGCAGCTTTACTGTCTCCTTAAGCCCCCTATCCAGTGTGCATAGGACCTATGTGAGCTGGGGCAGGCTTTAAACATGTGTCCACATTTTTGTTTCCTAGCTCTGCACCTAGGTTCCCATTGATGATGTGGACATGAAAAATTGGCTGTTTTGGGCAATGATAACAGCCAAGCTGCCAGCAAAGGTGGCAAATCCAATCTCCAGGAAAAATGGACAATGCAGACTGTAGCCTACCGAAGCTTTCTGAGAGGAGTAAGACAGAATAATATTGAAATGCAGCAGCAACTGTTAACCAGACTCCTCTGACCAGCTGCCAGGGTTTGAAGGGTTACAAAAGGAGGGTGCTCACAGTAAGTTTGTACCCAGATGCTCACATCCTTCCTCCCATCTTGAGAATACGCAGCTTTTGGCTTTCAGACACTACAAATGACTATAACCATCCATCTTAATGAAGCCAAATAACCCAAATATGCACACACAGAGTTGATAGCAAGACCAGCTTTGGAGAAATTCTGAAGTCGAAAAAGTTTCTTTTTTTTTTTTTTTTTTTTGAGATGGAGTTTCACTCTTATCACCCAGGCTGGAGTGCAGTGGCGCATTCTTGGCTCACTGCAACCTCCAACTCCCAGGTTCAAGCAATTCTCCTGCCTCAGCCTCCAGAGCAGCTAGGATTACAGGTGCCTGTTGCTATGCCCGGCTGATTTTTTTTTTTTTTTTTTTTTTTTTGTATTTTTAGTAGAGACGGAGTTTCAACATGTTGGCCAGGCTGGTCTTGAATTCCTGACCTCAGGTGATCCACCCGTTTCCGCCACCCAAAGTACTGGGATTACAGGCGTGAGCTACCAAGCCTGGCCTTCTTTTTTATTCTCTTAATCTTGTTCTTTTCCTCCTCCTAGTAAATTCTCAGGCCTTTTCCCTATCCTTCCTTGTCTAAGTCCCTTCAGTTCATTCTTTTACTCACTTATTTGTTCAGTTCACAAACATACTGAATTTCTCAGGCAGTGAACTAGTTACTAGAGATTCAGTGGTGAGAAAATTCAGACTTAGTTCCGCCCTTACAAAACTTATGGTCTAGTGTGCAACAAACGTGATCCAAATAATTTGACAAATAAAGATAAATTTTGAATTGAGAGGAAGAAATCTGCTTCATTGTATTTAATAAACTTACCTGATCGCAGATGCTTGTTCATGGTAAAACCTGCTCAATCGTATAGAACTGATCTCTTAAAGAACACACAGTTAGGAGCTGAAGACTTCAGTCAAAAAGAAGACATAGCACAGATGCTTTGGATGCTTTGATAAAGCCCTTATAGAAAAGCAAAATAAAGACTTGAAACCTCTTCCACATTTGACTGGGTGTAGTGGCTCATTCGTGTAATCCCAGCACTTTGGGAAGCTGAGGTGGGTGGATCACTTGAGGTCAGGAGTTCCAGACCAGCCTGGCCAACATGGTAAAAACAGTCTTTACTAAAAATACAAAAATTAGCTGGGTGTGGTGGGGTTGGGGCATGCCTGCAATCCCAGCTACTTGGGAGGCTGAGGCTTGAGAATCACTTGAATCAGGGAGGCAGAGGTTGCAGTGAGCCAACACTGTGCCACTGCACTCTAGCCTCCAGCCTGGGCAACAAAGCAAGACTCTGTCTCAAAAAAAAAAAAAAAAAAAAAAAAAAAAGAAAAAGAAAAAGAAACTTCTCCCACCCTTTAAGCAACCCATGGATAATGTTATTTCTGCCCAAACACATCACCATGAGTTGCCTGTCCCTGGAACAGGCAACTGCCAAGAGGGTAAGTAAGTTTATATGTATATGCAGAAATGCCCTGAAAATTAATTTCCAGGCAATGTGAGGCTATTTAAACCAGTCCTTCCAGCTTATGCTTCTGAACCCTGAAAAGATGGGATTGCCAAAGCTGTTCCATGGAGAGGCTGCTGCTGCCTAGTGTTATACCAGAGATCACACTAAAAAGAAATTAAAGGACTACTTCTTATCCTCACGGTCTGCTTGAGAGGCCAATATACTTCATCCCCAGTAGAGTATTCTAATTAATGTGATCTCATTTTACCTTGTGCAGACTTAGGCAGGTGGTTAAACTGAAATTGATGTCTTTTTGTAATAAGTATACCACAGGGCTGAGTCAAAGCAATGAGTGGAAAGGGAATGGGAGGCATTTTGGGTAAGAGATTAGGACAAACTTTTGAAAAGTCAGGACCATCTAATGATAGTAGTGCCTTAGGAAATGCAAGTCATTTGCATTGAGGATTTCAACAAATACAGAAAAGGTGACTTGAGAGGAGGATGTAGTACAATGGTATTTTTCAAAGGCAGAATACAGTGAAAGTCAAAAGTACAGATCTAGAATTCAGACAGACCTGAGTTTGAATTCTGTCTCCCAGGTTTGAACACTAGTTTGACTTTGTACAAAACTGCTTAATCTCACTGATCCTCATTTTCCCCTCCTGTAAAACAGAGATTAACAAAGGTGTTTTATACCTCATAGGGTAATAATGAGAATAAAATACAATCATAAAGCACTTAGCACAGCACCTGATTTATGGTAAGTACTCAGTAACAGGTAATGATTGCTATGACTTTTATTTTAAGTTCTGGGATACATGTGCAGGATGCGCAGGTTTGTTACATAGGTGAACATGTATCATGGTGGTTTGCTGCACCTGTCAACCCATCACCTAGTTATTAAGCCCTGCGTGCATTAGCTATTTTTCTCGATGCTCTCCCACCCTCCATCAACTTCCCAACAGTCCCCAGTGTGTGTTTTTCCCCTCCCTGTGTCCATGTGTTCTTGTTGTTCGGCTCCTACTTGTGAGAACACTGTGACTTTTAAAATATGTTTCCATTATCAGATTTTTAAACACCTAGGTTTCCCAATAGGGTATTTATATTCTATGAGGCACACCAAGATTATAGGAGAAAGATGAATTTTGATTAAGGCAACATGGCCACAGCAGGACTGGAAAATTTGGTTAGGGGATTCAGGAAGTATGAATTATTCCTGGCCACACTGCTGTGTTCTCAGAATAGCAAATAAGCACTCATTTGTGTGTTATATTGTATTAGATTGAATGCTACAGAAACTTCCATTTCTGGGCATCCAAAATAGTCACTGATTAGAAATTTTATATGGTTCTATCTGTACAGAAACGGTGTGCTCCAAATCACACCTTCCCAGCTCAGATTTAAGGAATGATTTGATGGTAAGTAGAAGGAGTGTAAATTAATCTCACTGAAGAATCTGTTCTGTAATTCTACAGAATTCCCAATAAAACGCCGTGAAATTCCCTGCAGACCTTTAACGACCTGTGTTATCCCATCCTTAGAATCCTGTCTAGATCTGTTTAACATCCTTTCTGTGTTCTCAACTTTCTTTCAGGCACAGGGCATAATGGTCTCTGCTGATGCTTGCAGAAACCTGGGCTAAAGCTCTAGGTTTGCCACTATTTGATGGATGACCTTGGGAAATTTGCATAATGTATCCGAGCCTCAGTTTTCTCAACTATAAAATAAAGGAGTTGGAGAGGAGGGCTTATAGATATCTTCCAATTCTAAAATTCTACGATTTTATAGCTGAGCTCTAGTGTGAGGAGTCTGGGATTCACATTCTTTGCCTTATTATCTCATCCTCATGAAATCATTTCATTCCAGGAATTTTACCAAAGGGTAATTTGCATAACAATTATTCCTACCCAGCCCACCTTTTCTTGGACTCAGCTCCTTCGGCCAGGGAAGGGAGGTAGAACTTTGGCCATCTGTCCCTTTATGCTAAAGACGCTGTTTTTGAATGGTTGCCTAAGATAAATTTAATTAGGGAAGTAAACCCTGTTGGGAGAAATCACAAAACACATTGTAAAACCAGTAAATAAAAAGGGCTTTTGATTAAGATTTGTCTTTCTCTAGAACCCTGAAGCTGGCTGAGTTTCTAGACCCCTGCTTCTCACTACAATAATATCCTAGTCCAGTTCTCTTCAGCCATCAAAACCCTCTCCACACCCTAAGGTCCATCAGAATTTTCACGCCTACACTGAGCTTCTCTTACCTCCTACCCCAGTGCAACTGTCTTTATGACTCACTTTGTCTTATGGCATCTTTTCCATTTGGTTTTCTAAACTCACACAAATAGACTTCACTTTTCTGTGTCTATAGGGGACACTTATCTTTGCTGCCCAGCACCTATAATGCCTTCTTTTGACAAAAGTAAATTAATTTTGCTTCAAGGGAAACCTCTCTGCCTGCATTTCCTGGGGCTCTGTGGGTGGAGTTCAGGATCTCAGATGATCCATTTTGTCTATTCAGCAAGTGGCTTTCGCACCAACCACATGCCAGGCACTGAGGCTACTGGATTAGAATGACAAGACCCCTGCTTTTTCGGAATATATATTCTTACAAGAATTCCTAGAGATTATAGACTCTATTTTTACATTTTTCTCTCCCTGGCAACTAGCACAGTACAGGTTACATAGTACATATTCCCCTGACATTTGGTGAAGGAATGAATGAATAAAATTGTTTCAAGAGCACACGACGGTTAAAAACACAGTGTTTGTGTGTGCATGGGTGCGTATGTGTGTGTGCATGTGCGTGTGTGTGTGTGTGATATTTTGGGGTTATCACTATGCATCACAATTGCTTCCACAGTTTTACATGGATAAATCCATTTAATCTGTACAGGAATCCTGTGTGACAGATACTGTTATGATGTCATTTTGTAGAGAAGGAAACCAAAGCACAGAGAGGTTAAGTGACTTTCCTAAGGTCACAGAGGTCACAAATAGTACGGGGGGAGAACTAAAACCCGCTAGTCCAGCTCCTTAGACCACACTTATAATCACGTTGCTAACATCTCATTCTCAATCATGAACACCGGACTGAGGGCAGTGACAGCACAATCAAAGTGAGAAGTTATAGCTCTACTTCTCCCTTCCCTTTCTAAAGCTGATATTTTGTATTTCCCATTTTTTCCTCATCCTCAAATTAAATAAATACACTTCAAAATACATTCCTATTTTGTAACCATTTTGACCTTATGGTTCTCATTTTACCAGGCAGATAGGAGGTCAAGATTTGAAGATCAATAATTCTGGCTACCTATAGTCATATTGATCAAAATACAGAAGAAAAGCCAACATTGGGGATCAAAACATATCAGTGTACAATGTATACACACACTCATCGACATAAGGCAATGAAAAGATATGTACCACTTTTAGGTCAGAGTAGTCAAACAGAAGAGCTGGAAACCAGCAGTTTCTAGGGCAACCTTTTAAGTTAGGGCTTCTCAGTGGCAAAGGAAATTCATCAGCTAGCATTCCATGGAGTCCTGTTTACAGTCTGCGGGAACATTCACTGGGCTATTATGAAGAACGCTAATGCTCTCAATTATACCTAAATTAAGATAAAGCAGTAACCTAGTTAATGTAAAAGTGGTTTTATTTATAGACAGCAATTTAATCTTTAATATGCAACCACCATCTGTAAAACTACTTAGCCCCATCTATCCCATTTAGTGTCTTTATTATCCTCTTGTAAAAACACATGGAGCATTCTTGGTTATAGATGTGAAAGAGTTCTTTCTCTAACATTTTTTTAAGCTTAAAAATGTTGATGTAATTACAGTGGATAGATAGATACATTTTCATGCTGAATGTCCTTCATTCATTATATACTGTAATGAAATTAACCATAATGTCTAAAGAAAGGAAAAGCTATTTATGGTAGTTTCAGGACAGAACCTTTTTCTTCCTCCAATAGAAGCATTTTGTTGGGTGGCAGGGAGGTCTGGAGGTGGGGGGTGGAAGTCGGGGAGGCACAGAGAGATTCTTATGCTCAGGAATGTCAACCTTTTCAGGTAAATCATCTTTCGGAAGAAAGCAAGCCTCTAAGCACATTGAGCCAGCTGTGTACCTTCAACCAGCATTGTTGGAGACCCAGTTTTGAAAGTGCAAACTGCCTCCTGAGTCAGAACACATCTGGAAGCCTAACCAAGCTTCTAAGCTAAGCATTTTAGCAGAGGCACCGTGTCTATCCCAAAGGATAGAAATATTATTTTTTGTGTAGGGTTTTGAGGCTCCTGCGGAGTTACACAAAGCCTGACAGTTACAGTCATTCTTCTAATGATGATGAGTTGACAGCTAGAGGAAAAAGCAAACAGAAACACAGAGAGAGAGAGAGAGAGATAAAAGGAAGGAGGGAGAGAGGGAAGGAGAGAGAGAGGGAAGGAGAGAGAGAGAGGGAAGGAGAGAGAGAAAGGGAAGGAGAGAGAGAGAGAGGGAAGGGGAGAGAGAGAGAGAGAGAGAGAGAGAGAGAGAGAGAGAGAGAGAGAGAGAGAAGGAGAGAAAGAGTCTCCAAAGCGTGCTGGGATGTCCAAAATCAGCAAGTATCTGTTTTGTTTAGGTGGGTCATTAGGATGCAGAAAATTTCAAAGAATTGAGATTCTGATTTATAAAGGTAGCAGATTTTTATAGTTAGATAAGATACTAGAAAAATTACCTAATTTGGGGTTAGCAAATGCAAGTCAAGTGTGTTACATCTTCCCCTGTCCCTTGCCCACAGCCCACTGCTGTGTGCTCTTTCTCATGGATCCAGTGGAACACTGGCACATGGGATGAAATCTAGAAGCTATTTCATGACAAATTACCCCCTCATTTTTACAGCAGAGGAATTGAATCCCAGAGAAGTTCATGACTCTCTCAAAGACACAAAGCAAGTTAGTGTCGGATATGAGAAGAGATCCCTAGTGCTCCCGTTGCTCCTAATCCTGGAGTCTTTACATGTCATGAGGGTGTTAATTACACCCAATTAGCAGTGACCCAGGCTGGAATAAAACATAGACCTGCAAACCAAACTTCAATAGATGATCATGAGTTCAGCTTTTAATCAGCTCAGTCCAACTTCTAACACCCACAGTCCCAGACAATAGTGAGAGAGACACACTCTGAGGATTCCTGGGGTGGAAACGCTGCAGAATCACATGATGCTGTTGCTATTCATGTTGGCAAAACTATTTCCAAAACCTGTGTCTGCTATCAAGAGTTTGTGAAATTGTTACTATCTTTTGAAATGTTAGTCTCAAATACGTTAAAAGGAAACAGTCAATAAGAAGGTAGAAGGCTGGGTGCAGTGACTCACACCTGTAATCCCAGCACTTTGGGAGGCCAAGGCAGGCAGATCATCTGAGGTCAGGAGTTTGAGATCAGCCTGGCCAACACGGTGAAACCCTGTCTCTACTGAAAATACAAAAATTAGCTGGGCATGATGGTGCGTGCCTCTAATCCCAGCTACTCGGGAGGCTGAGACAGGAGAATCACCTAAACCTAGGAGGCAGAGGTTGCAGTGAGCTGAGATTGACCCACTGCACTCCAGCCTGGGTGACAGAGACTCCGTCTCAAAAAAAAGAAGGTAGAAAAGGCTACATGCATTAATATATACATCCTCTATAAAGTAGGTCCACTCCCTCTTTTGCTCCATCACAGCTACGGTTTCCTTCCAAAATACCAACCACCGTCTAAAATCATTGTGTTTTCTAGTGTACTATCTACATCCTCCACTAGAACATAAGCCCTGTAAGGGCAAGGACATTTTCTGTGTTATTTTCTATCATAATCCTGAATACATTCCATGGTACCTGATACAAGGTAAATATACAAAGTATGTTTATTAACTTAAATAAAATTCAAAGCATTTATAATAGAAGACAAAGGGCTTTTATCTTGATGAACAGCTAGGACAAACAGACCTATTAGTGAAGAATATAAATGATAGTTACAAAAATGACTTGGAAACCTATGGAAATATTTGCTCAAAATACAATGGAAAGAGAAATGAGCAGGCTACAAAAGTGCCTGCCTACTGTGGACTGAAATATACACTTGTACGTTTGAATTTCATGCTGCAGTATATATGCATTGTCTTTTTAAAAATGAAATAATTTAACAACCACCAACAGAATTTTTTAACTCTACAGTTGAAGAAATTGACTTCCAGAGACGTGGGGACTTACAAAAGGTCCAGAGATGGGAAATGGTAGAGCGGTTTAAACCAATGTAAACCAATTTCGTCTCATAGCCCTTTCTACTCTGTTAGCCAGACTTCTGGGGTAGGGAGTGTCTTTAGCATCCTTACTTGTTAACCCAGCCACACCTGCAGAACTTACTCAGCTGATTTGCATACATTTCATCAGCTCAGAGAATAAAGAAAAACAACGCACAATTTCTTAAAGTGATTACACTCGATCACTGCTCTGCCCTGAAAAAACAACCCTGCGGCTGAATTCTGAGCTAAATCTATTATTTCCTCTTTCTAGACCCTGTTAAATTGTTACTGCCATCTAAGCAAGTACACCATTATTTGAGGCCAAAGTGGACTGCCAGATTTAGAACCACCTCCTCCCAAACAGCTGCCTGCTACCTCCTTCCTTGGATAAGGAGTTAACTTCACAGTTAGAAAAGTGCCCTGATGACAGTGAGTGCACAGTCACAGTCATTTCTTCCACGCAAATCAGCCATTTCCACCTCAGGTGACTCTGAGCAACTTATTCATTTGCAGCACTCAGGAAGTAAATGAAATTAACCCCCAAGGTTTCATGATGTCCTAATAATAAATTGCAGAGAGCTAAAGTAAGGAAATGGCCTTGGCTAGATTCCACACACATTTCTAGGCTAACTTTCTCTATACTTATACAGGTGACCAATAGACGTCTCATTATAAAACCCATGGAGAAAGATATAACTAAGCTACATGGCAATAGCAAATTTTGATTGAAAATAAAGGAGGTTTATCTGTGCAATCATCTTTCAATTAGTCACACTAATAGAGAAGAAATGTTGCATAGACAATGCAGAACCACTGAATGTGGAAATGATCATTTTTAGTTCTGTACCATATGTAATGATTAGTAAAGAATACAGTAATAATTATTAACAATATAGATGACAATGATAACATTTATCAAGCATGCACTACGTATCACATGTGATATTTAGCTATTTACAAAACGTCCCCATGAAGGAGAGTATTATTATCCTCCCTTTAAAGAATACAAAAATTATGAGACATATGTTAATTTGCTCAAGGACATGCAGCTAGCAAGTAAATGCTGGATTGAAACTCAGGTCTATTTGCCTCCAACGCTGTGTCTATGACCAATGTATTACGCTTGTTAGAGGTGAATCTTCCATGTCCTCATGGAGGCTTTACCATGCTCAGAGTAGGACGGTGATAATGTATCAACTAGAAAGATGCTGCTCCAAAGCCACTCCCACCAACACTGCTCCTGACGCCACCTACCAGGGGGCTTAAAATCACAATATTAAAGTTTCAATCCTGTAGGTTAAGGATCTAATAGCTGTAAGAGTCCCATTGAAATGCCAGTACATCTTAGATATGACACCAAAAGCACAAACAATAACCAAATAAAAATCAATGAATTTTACTTGGCCAAAATTTACAACTACTGTGCTTCAAAAATATCACCAAGAAAGTATAAAGATGACTCACAGAATGGAAGATAATATTGGTAATTCATATCTGATAAGGGTCTAGTATCTAGAATATATAAAGAATTCTTACAACTTAATAAAAAGGCAAACTGATTTTAAAAAAGGAGAAAAGGATTTGAATAGATGTTTCTCTGAAGGAGGTATATCACATGGCCAATAAGTGCAGGAAATTATGCTCAATTATCATTCATCAATAGGGAAATGCAAATCAAAACACAATGAAGTACCACTTCACACCCACTAGGATGGCAATAATAAAAAAGATGAATAATAAGTGTTGGCCAGGATGTGAAAAAACTAGAACCCTTTTATATTGCTGGTGGAGATGCCAAATAGTACAGCCATAACAGAAAATAGTACAGCAGTTCCTCAATAAGTTAAACCTGGAGTTGCCATATAACCCAGCAATTCCACTCTATGCTTAAGGGAATTAAAAACATATGCCATACAGAAATGTGTACACAAATGTTGTTCATCGCAGCATTATTTATAATAGCTAAAAAGCAGAAACAACCCAAATGCCCATCAACTGATAAATGGATAAACAAAATGTGGCATAATCCACAAAAAGAAATATTAGTCAGCAATAAAAAAGAATAAAGTACTGATGGATGAAACATTAGGCTATGTTAAAGAAACCAGACACCAAAAGCCAAATGTTGTATGATTTCATCTATATGACATATTGATATCTGAAATAGGTAAATTCATAGAGACAGATGTAGATTGGTAGGTTGCCAATGACTACAGGGAAGGGGAGATTGGGGAATGATTAAGTGGGCATGGGGTTTTCTTTCGGGATGATGAAAGTGCTTTAGAATTAGATGGAGATGGCAGCTAGACAACATTTTGAATATACCAAATGCCACTGAATCGTTCACTTTAAAGTGGTTATTTTTATGTTGTGTGAATTTCACCTCAATTAAAAAAACTGCACTGACTTTCTGTAGGATGGGTTTCCAATGCTTTCTGGGCATCAAAAGATAGAGTGAAAGGCACAAATGGGAAATCTTGCTGATTTCCATGATTTTTTTTCCACAACAATCTGATACAACAAGATATTCATTAATGGTATAAACATAAAGGATTCCTGGCTAATTAAGTGGAGCATCCTGCACAGTGAGCTCTCACTTTAATCAAAATGTTCCTATGCATTGCTTTTCAAGAGTTCATGCTAAAGCAGCTTCCATGCATTCTTATTGGTGTAACATTGTCCCCAAAGGATAAGAACTGTTTTCTGATGGTTAAAATTTCTTACTCTTCTCATGTATAAAGCGCAGATATTCATGTAGTACCTAAATAGCTATGCAGTATATTCATGGTATTAACATTTCACCATGGAATGTTAACCCCACCATGGTGGGGAGTAGGGGGCAATTATGCAAAAAGATTTAAACAGGCTCCTGAGGGGGGCAATAATTTAAAAATGTAGTGAGAAACTCTACCCTAGATAAAGAAAGAAAACCAGGAACAATCCATTTCTCTTAAGTACTAAGTTTCCCCAAGAAGGAGTCGTCAAGTAAATAATATTTGTTTGCCATCCAGGTAAATTCAAGGACGTCCTGA
The DNA here is from genome assembly GCF_000001405.40 of Homo sapiens. NCBI lineage: Eukaryota > Metazoa > Chordata > Mammalia > Primates > Hominidae > Homo > Homo sapiens. The sequence goes on along the minus strand of NC_000005.10, from coordinate 156,439,329 downwards.
AGCACAATGTCACACAATGATTAAGATAAGACACTCCTCAGCTCTTTCACTTACTGGCTGCATTACACAGAGCAACTAATAATCTCCCTGAAACTCAGTTTCCTCAAATGGAAAAAGGGGTTGCAAAGGGCACCTCCTTCACTGGGTTGCTGTATTAAATGGGATTATACCTTGAAGGTCCTTGGAATAGTGCCTGGAGCAGTCTCACGTCTCTATCAAGGTTAGCTGCTATTACTTATTTTTCATGACCTAGGGAAAGAGCCCAGTGGTTTGGAGTGGGGTCTCTGAAGACAGAATATTTGCCTGAGCTTAAGTACTTGCTCTGATTTTGAGCAATTTCTTAACATTTCTTGCCTTCAATGCCCCTACAATTTGTCAAATGTAGGAAATAACAGTAACTCTCTCAGGTTTGTTTGATTAAAAGACTTAATTCTTTGAAAGCTTAAACAGCCTTTACCACCTTAAATGCATTTAGTTCATGTTGAGTTGTTATGACTGTTATCACAATTACTACTGCAGCTATTATTATTACTGTTAGCCTACTTGGCTGTCATAATTAAACTAGGTGCCATAGAAGGTACAAAAGACTTTCAAAAATGTTGAAAATGGGACACCATTTGGTTAAGTTTCCCTGTGAAGAATGGAGGAGAAAAGAAAAGAGTTGGTAGAATATGATTAATCGCTAAACACTGTAATAGAGATTACAGGTACTTTGCAATTTTATAAACAGGAGAGAACAGCATGAGCTGGAGGAGCTAAAAGAAAGTGTCCTGGGAAAGGTGGGAGTTGAAGTGGAGTTTCTTTTCTACCATGTAGAAACATAAACACCTCTCTTTGGCTCTGTTGTCTTTGCTGCTGTGCATGAAAAAAACAACCTTTTGAAAAAGATCCTTCCATCTTGACTTAACTTCCCATTGGCTTCCCTCCCTTGCTGCAAATTGCCCACCTGAAAGCACACAGAAAACGGAGCCAAAGTCCACCACACAGAATAATAGGTCCTTAAGCTACAGTGACTGCCAGAAAATGTCAGCTCTCAGAGCAGGAGCATATGGTCAAAACCGCCAGAAAAGCAGTGGTAATTTTTACAGCAGGTTATTACTACAAACCTCCTTTTAGAGGCCAGTTCACAGCTTGTCCTGAACACTACATTAACTCATTTATGGTTTTCCAAAAATGCTTGATTTCCTACTGTCCTCACATCTGACAAATATGCTCTCTCCTAATTCAAAACCCTAACGGAGATACTTAAATTTCCAATTGAGTGTGGTGCCATTTTAAAGTTGCAAATCCAGCCTCCCCAATGTATCCTCCAGGTAGCATGCTTAGGCATAAGCCTTCAATCCCTCTAAATGTAATGTTCCTTCAGCTTCAAGGATTCTCACAGCTTCTCTGCATCAAACCTAGAAAATGTGTATCTGGAAATGATCTGAAATGCTCATTCAAATATCCACTTGTAATAAATCACAGAGGTAATTCCAAAACTTGAACTTGGCTATCATTTCCAAAAGTTAAAAAACACATATATATTTTCTTCCCTCTCCAAAAGAGTGACACTAGCTATCTCCTCTTCAATTTCCCTGAATTGCCATCTCCCCTGTTGGCTGAGATTTAAGTATCCAGCAGTCAAATTGTGACTCCCCTTTGTTGCTAGATAAATATCAGTCTTGTCCATCTGTTACCGGGACTCTGTTTTCTTGAAAATGATGTAAAATTTAGATGCTAATGCAATACTGTTTGCATTGTTCAATCACAGCACTGAAACAGCCCTTGTATGCTATAACATTTGCCAAACCTACAAAGAAACCTTAATTTCTACCTTAGCATCCTTTGTGCCATCTGTCATTCTTTAATAATAACCAAATAGCTCAGGGCGTGATTTCAAAATAAGACTGTCAGCTCTCCTTTGCCATAGACAATACTTCAGAGGAACTAAGATGACTCTAGGATAACATCTTTATTTTCATTTAAATTAGACCATAAAACATTTCTTCTGAAAAGGTATGAATACTCCCCTTTGAAGTATAATGGGAAGATGACAGAATCCAACTAAAATAATGAGGAAGTTGCATCCCAAACCACAACATATGTACCATTGATTACATGTAAGATGACTTACATGGTACAAGGATGGCAATTAAAATAATACTTTAAAATAAGTATTAGAAAGAAAACTAGCACATCAAACACAAGATTCCATGAATACTACTAATCAGGATGAACTCAATCTTTCTTTAAAAGTTATTTTAAAGGATAATGTTTGGTATTTGAACGTAGCAACAACTGTGAGAAATGAATGGGAATAAAAAAAAATATGGGACACAGAGGATTTGAATGAAATGACAGCCAGGACTTTTCTGTCCATAAGATGCTCCAATTCTATGTGGCTGCAATTCCTAATTGATTTTTACAACTTGAAATAATCAGCACCCTGACACTTTCATGAGCACCTTTCCATGTATCAGACTTGGCTGAGTTGGTTAGCTATAAAGGAGGGGTCTCTGGGAGGGGTGGTTACATGTCAACTATCAAAAATTTGATTTGTTTCTAAATCTTTATAAAACCAGAGAGTTTGGACATTTCCTTCAAGGTACCAGAGCAAGAATACCTTTGCTTCTTCACAGGGTAAATTTAGCCACTGCAGCAGGAGCATGATATAATAGGAAAGGCAATGGACTCACACGGAAATGTGGATTCTGATTTAGTCTCTGTCATTAACGTGCTTTGTAATCTTAGGCAAGCCTCTTTACATCTGGTCATCTCCATCACAGGAGTGGATTGGATGATCTTCAAGGGCCCTTTTAGCTTCCACAATATTATAACTCCTAAGGTTCTACAGCATCAGAGATAAGGAACAGAATCCTACACTAGCAAAGCCGTGAGTCAAATTCCTTGGGAAAGTTCTGACTATATGACTTGACAACTGATTTCAATATGATAAGAACCCATTTGTTTGTGCAATCATTCATTCATTTATTCATTCAACAAATACATCTTGAGCACTTTCTGTGGGCCTATCCATGTTTCAGCTAGCTGAGAGAACAACATAGCATTTTAAAATCTTATAGTGTGTGATAACCTAAGAAATTGACCAAAATCCATTTTACACCTCTTCCCCTCCGATTAAATGTGGATCACATAAAATCAATTCAAATTTTTGACAAAGAATCCAGGCAGTTTTGCTGTGGGTGGTACCTGGTCCACATTGAGAAACTGTGGCCCGGTGAGTGACAGGTGAACAAACAGGCTACAGACAAATGGAGTGATAGCTACCCTGATAAGTGTAGGCTTTGGGTGCTAGGGGCACACAGGTGGGGTCCACACTTGGTCTGGGAACTTGGGAGAGCTACTTGGAGGAAAGAATATTCAAACTGAGTGCTGAAAGATGAATAGAATTTTACCAGCTCAAGATAACGGCAAACAGCATCTTGGACAGAAGGTAGCCTGCGTAAACATTGGGAGTTAAGGGTTTCTCCCTGTCCCAATCCAGAGAGAATTTTACAAAGGCCTGAGTTGAACAATGTATCACCACAACCTCTCTTCAGAAGTATTAATGGAATTAATAAACAGATGGACAAATCAATACATTAATTTTTTAAACAGTTAGTAGCCCATGCATATTAGCATACATGGACTCAGGAGGTCTATCATAGTATTAATAACAGGATACAGAACTTGCAAAGGAAAGTCTACATCTCCCTATCACCTGCAAAAGAGATATTCAAGAGCGGATACAGAAAATAATTTTAGCCCCTGATGTAGCAACAGCTGATATCTAAATAGCACTTATTACTTCTAGCACTTCCACATATATGATTCCACACCAAGAAATAAACAGTCAAATTGTATTTGTCCATCATACAGATTTTTCATTTTCTTCACAATTACAAGTACAGACAGATTGTCATCTTTTGAGATGAATGTCTCTCTGTAAAAATATCTGAGGATGTCCTTAGTATATCCTCAGGGGAATATACTGCAAAGGGGGAAATCCCATTTCCAATGTTTAATTCACAAGTTGCACGCCACTAACTACACAGGGAATCTTTGTGTCTAGGGCACAAATTAAAATGCGTTAAGCTGTGTAGCCCTGAGCAAGTAATACCGCCTTTCTGTGCCTCATTTTCTTCTTGTAAATAGAATGGCATGAATTAGATAATCCCTAAGAACTGTTTCTATTCCTACAGTCTATGAATCAAAATAAAAGAACATTTCTACAGGAATTAATTAATCCTCTGGGGATAAAATGAGTTAAGTATTTGCTTTTATTCTACATTGCTCTGCAGATGATCTTTCCTTTACAATAATCAGATCTTAAGAAAAAAGTCCACATGACACGCTTAAGTGTAACTAGACTTTTCTAAGAGATAGTATAAATTGAGGAATGATTTTATGAAGCAAGATGACTTGCTTGGCAGCTATAATTTTGCCTCCTCAATGACTGAGCCAATTTTCTCCTCCAGCTCTCTTATACACCTTTAATGAATACATGTTTCTTTGATTAAATTAACATTTTTGTCTAGCTAATTAGCCTGAAAAACCTATGCTGAACTGATCTGGTAGCAACTTCATTACTGCTCACCGGTGCATGTTTGTGACCAATCACTGTCAACTCAATCGCCTAATGATTAGGGAAACATTAAGTTTGGCTAATTTGGTTTTCTGTGGCCATCATCACATTCCCAGTGACAGGCCAATCCCCACCCTGAATCTACCCTGCCTGACAGTGCCAGATGTTTTAATCATACGGCTTCATTCATTAATGTCTATCAGCATCGCTGGCCGGGTTTGCAGCAAATACCTTTATTTGAAACCAAAACTAATTAAATACTATCTTAGTAATTACCTTCTGTAGTTACCCTTCCCTAAGTGGGCCAATATGACAAGGGCTGAAAAATAAAGGCTTAAATGGGACTGGAGAGGGAGGGAGCCTCACCATCATTGAATTACATTTCCCCTCTGTGTGTTTAATAAATGGTATGCTTGTGCGGGGAGCCATCCCTCCCATCTAAACTCTGTTCAGAAAAGTGTATCTTAGTTTTGCCTTACTCCAATCAGTTTATGGAACATACTGCTTTCTTAGATCATGATGTTTTAATAAGACTACTTTACACACACACAGCATTCAGAAGATGTCACTGAAACTTCTTTACCAACATAATCATCCTTCTTCTGGTATTAGCCAGCTAGAGATGCACACCTTCCATACTGCCTTTCCAGGTGGCTCTGATGGTATCCTCAGCTGCAGGAGTGGCACGTGGCCTGGGCCTAGCCAATGAGCATTTGGCATCTCCTGGTAACTGGGATTGGTTTATAGCCAGTCATGTTACCCATTGGAGGCCAATCATGAGCAATGAGACTTGATTCTGGGAATCTCAGTTTTAGCTATGTAAGCAGCTGTCTCTGCCTTTCCTGAGGTATTGGACATTGAGACAACAAGGTCAAGGTCAACAATTACTATAGCCATCTTGTAACCACAAGGGGAGACACTTTGGGAAAGGGGCTTACATAAAGAAAAATGGGGCCTGAAACATGCACAGGGAGAAACCAACTTGTGTTGACAATGTTTACCCTATTATCAAGCTGCATATGGTGACAGGCCATTGCTTGGTGCTGTCAGCTTTCTGCCCTGATAAAAGACTTTTTTGCCTAATATCACATACAACTAAAAGAGTAATAACTGATGTAAGCCCCTTTTAGCTGTTCAAAATGATTTTAGATTTGCCATCCTACATGATTGCCACACTAATACTGTACAGGTAGTAGGGCAGGAATCCTTAGCCTCATTTTGGAAACAAGAAGGCGGAGGCACAAAGAGACAGGGGCTTGCTAATGCTCACCAACCAAGTGCTAAACTGAGGTTTCAAGGTGGTCAGCCACCAACGTGGGCCTTTGTTCTTCTGCTTAGTTCATGGGACTTGTTTCCCAACCCAGTTTACTCTGGATCACCGTTAGAATGGTGTTTGGGGAAGGCAGTAGAGCATGTGAATAGGCTATGGTTTTGGTATCTGCCTGGTCCAAATCCCCACTCCCCAACTTACTAGAGAGATGCCATTTCAGAAATTCAACATCTGGAAGCATTAGGGTCTGTAATGATGACAGCGAGAACAGAGAGAGAATGATTAGAGCAGAGTGAGTGGTTCTTTCTCGACCAGAAAAGAGACACTGTTTTCCAAACTGATTGCAATGTAAAAATTAACCTAACTTTATATTTGTTGTAAGTCACAAAAATTTTAACTTTGATCTGTGGTTCAAAATACCCATCATTGAAAGACACCCCCAACTGAATTCTGTGATATAATTTTGAGTGGGATGAACTCTCCTGAACAGAATCTGTGAGTGAGCAGGAAGTGCTGCAGATACACATGCAGGAGCTAGGTGCCTGGCATTACAGGCATATAGGAAGGAGCGTGGTCTGAAAGCCCTGCTTGTTATCTCTGCAAGGAAGCTTCTGGCCTGGGGCAGGTCTAAGTTCTGTGTGCAGGCTGCCTGGATCTAAACCCGTTGCTGTTAATAGGGCACTGTGGGAGTTAGACCAGCTTCACCAACTGCATGGGAGCTAGGTGGGACCTATCACAGCCTGCTACTCACTACTCCCCTTGTGAACTCTTCTGTACAACAGTGGCAGTTATTCTCCCCTGTGGAACATTACCCCAGCAGTCTGAAAACCACCCCTATCCCCCACAGTGGCCACAGCACACCCTGCCCAAGGAGAGAGAGTCTGTGCTCAGACCCGCCTAACCCTGACCCCACCTGATGGTATTTCTCTACCTGCCCTGGTAGCTTAACACAAAGGACATAAACTCTTGGGGAGCTTTATGGCCCCGCCCAATGCCTGAGAAACCAGAATACTTCCCCTGGCCAACTTTGGATAAGCTCAAATCCCACTGCTACTACTGTACCTGGTGCTGTCTTGCAAACGCCACCTCCTGGCTGGAGGCCAACCAACTCAGGCCTTTACAGCAACCCATGACAAAGAAATACTGCTCGCAAGAAAGAGAAAATAACAGCCAATTCCACCACCTGTAACATGCTGGCTAACCAGAGGTCCTGAGTCTGTCCTTGTGACAACTTCACTACTAGCATAACTAGCATACTAGAAAGCCAGCACATTAGCCTATCTACAATGGAGGAATCTCACAGAGTCTATGTCACTCCCCTGCTACCTCCATCAGAGCAGATGCTGGTATCCACTGCTGGGAGACCTGAAGACAGTCACATCATTGGACCCTTTGTAGATATTCCCCAGTACCGGCCCAGAGCCTCGTAGTCCCACGGGTGGCTAGACCCAGAAAAGCAGAACAATCATTGCAGTCTGGCTGGGTGCGGTGGCTCACGCCTGTAATTCCAGCACTTTGAGAGGCTGAGGTCAGCAGATCACCTGAGTTCAGAAGTTTGAGACCAGACTGGCCAACATGGTGAAACCCCTTCTCTACTAAAAATACAAAAATTAGCTGGGCATGGTGGTGCATGCCTGTAATCCCAGCTACTCAGGAGGTTGAGGCAGGAGAATCACCTGAACTGGGGAGGCAGAGGTTGCACTGAGTCGAGATCACGCCACTGCACTCCAGCCTGGGTGACAAGAGCAAAACTCTGTCCAAAAAACAAAACAAAACAAAAAACAAAACAATCATTGCAGTCTGGCTCTCAGGAAGCCCCATTCCTAAGGGAAGGGGGACAGTACCACATCAAGGGATTACCCCGTGGGACAAAATAATCTTAACAGCAGACCTTGAGTCCCAGATCTTTCTGCCAGTGGGAGGTTTCTTACAGCAGAGACATAACTGCAGTGCTGGGGGCAGTAGGGAAAGTCTGCACCTCTACCCTAATAGGCAGGCAGCCTCTCTGATTAGGAAGGGACTTGGAGAAGGGGTCCTTGTTCCCCTCTGGCACACCACTGCAGACAAAGCTGGGGCTTCTCCTACAGGAATGCAGCATGGATGCACCTACAGACAGCCTTCCTGGAACAATCCAGGATGAGGGCAACCCCACAGGAGGAGATAATCGAGATAATCAGATCTTAAGAAAAAGAAAAAAGACATCTGAGTCAGACCTGCATGAGAAGCAGAGTCACAACCCCTCCCTACTTGGAACATCAACATTTCTACAGATGAAAAGAGGTGCCTGTCTGATCTGAATAGCCAAAACACTAAAATAGGAATGAGGCTGTGAGGTGGATAGCTTTCCTGCTGGCCTGGCAGGGGAGCTGGGATAGCTCTCCCTCTTCACCCTGATGAAACCTCAGCACATCTAATTGAGAGCTCCCCCAGCTACCCTCATCAAGACTGGGATCTTGGCCCACCATTGAGTATTATATCTACCCACCTGCCTTATCTACAACCAGTCCCTACCCAGGGATACCTCTCCCATTGGCCTGAAGCCTGAATCATCGTTTGGTCAATAAAATACTGGGAAAAAATTAAGTGTATACCATGAGAGAATGAGATAAGCTTCAAAAGATCTCTGCCATTTCATCCCCAAAGAAGACAGTGAACTCTCCCACACCCCAAGAACATAACGACTACAACCACATCTGGGAAAGCCAGCACACAAATAATCCCTTCAACTAAGAAACACATACAAAGTTTTCACTCCTAAAGGCACCACAAATCAAATTAAGCTAAAATAATCATTAAAGTCCAATCGTTGAGAGGAAAAATGAAATAAAAAAAAACATAGTCCAAACAAAAATAAATTCAAGAACAATTTGAGGAAATGGTCTAATCAAATGAAAAGAAACCAGAAAAGTAAATCTAACAATATGACAAAACAGGGATCTATGGTACCCCAAAAAGATCACACAAGCTCCCCAGCAATGGATCCAGACCAAGAAGAAATCTCTGAATTTCCAATAAAGAATTCCAAAGGTTATTAGGCTACTCAAGGAGATACCAGAGAAAGGGATAAACCAACTTAAAAAAATCCAGGATATGAATAAAAAACTTTCCAGAAAAATAGTAGAAAAAAAATCAAAACTTCTAGAAATTAAAGACACACTTAGGGAAATAAAAAATAAAGTGGAAAGTTTCAACAGTAGGCTAGAACAAGGAGAATAAAGAATTTCAGAGCTAGAAGATAAGACTTTTGAACTAAACCAATCAGATAAAGAAAAAAGAGTTTTAAAAACTGAACAAAGTATCCATGAAATATGGAATTATGTAAAATGGCCAAACCTAAGAATAATTGGTGTTCCTGAGGAAGAGAAATCTAAAAATTTGAAAAACTTTGAGGAAGTAATTGAAGAAAACTTCCCTTGCTAGAGATCTAGACATCCAAATACAAAAAGCTCAAAGACTCTTGGGAAATTCATCACAAAAGATCATCACCAAGGCACATAGTCACTGGGCTATCTAAAGTCAAGAAAAAGTATTGAGTATTTCTCACTTAGGAGCTGTGAGAAAAAAGCATCAGGTAACCTACAAAGGAAAACCTATCAGATTAAAAGCAGATTTCTCACAAGAAACCTTACAAGCCAGAAGGACTTTGGGTCCTATCTTTGGTCTCCTTAAACAAAACAATTGTAAGCCAAGAATTGTGTATCCAGTGAAACTAGGCTTTATAAATGAAGGAGAAATAAATTCTTTTTCAGACAAACAAATGCTGAGAGAATTTGCCACTACCAGATCAGCACTACAAGAAATGCTAAAAGGAGTTCTAAATCTTGAATCAAAACCTCAATATACACCAAAATAGAACTTCCTTAAAGCATACATCTCACATGGTCTCTAAAACAAAACACAATTAAAAAAAAAAAAACCAAACTATTTAGGCAACAACTAACATTATGAATATAAAGGGACCTCACATCTTAATACTAATGTCAAATGTAAATGGCCTAAATGTTCTACTTAAAAGACACAGAATGGCAGAATGGATAAAAATTCACCAACCAAATATCTGCTGTCTTCAAGATACTCACTTAAGACATAAGGACTCACATAAATATAAGGTAAAGGGGTAGAAAAAGATATTCTAGGCAAACGGAAACCAAAAGTGAGCTGGAGTAGCTATTTTTAGATCAGACAAAACAGACTTTAAAGCAAGAACAGTAAAAAAAAAAAAAAAAAGACAATGAGGGACATTATATAATGATTAAAAAATTTGTCCAACAGGAAGGTATCACAGTCCTAAATATATATGCACCGAACACTTAAGCTCCCAGATTTATAAAACAATTACTACTAGACCTAAGAAATGAGATAGACAGCAACATAATAACACTGGGGGACTTCAATAAAACACTAGATCAATCATCAAGACAGAAACTCAACAAAGAAACAATGGACTTAAACTATATCCTAGAAGAAATGGATTGAGCAGATGCAGAATATACATTATTCTCATCAGCATGTGGAATATTCTCTAAGATAGACCATATGCTAAGTCACAAAAAAAGACTCAATAAATTTAAGAAAATCAAAATCACATCAAGTATCTTCTCTGATCACAGTGGAATAAAACTAGAAATCACCCACAAATAGAACCCACAAAAAACTATACAAATATATGGAAATTAAATAATCTGCTCTTGAATGATGTTTGGGTCAACAATGAAATCAAGATGGAAATTTAAAATTATTTGAAATGAATAATAGTGACACAACTTATCCAAACTTCTGGGTTACAGCAAAAGCAGTGCTAAGTGGAAAGTTTACAGCATTAAATGAGTACATCAAAAGTCTGAAAGATCACAAACAGACAATCTAAGGTTACACTTCAAGGAACTAGAGAAACAAGAGCAAACCAAACTACAAACCAGCAGAAGAAAAGTAATAACAAGGATCAGAGCAGAACTAAATAAAAATGAAACAAAAAAATTACAAAATATCAATGAAATTAAAAGCTGGTTCTTTGAAAAGATACATAAAATTGACAGAGCATTAAAGAGATTAACTAAAAAAAGAAAAGAGAAGATCCAAATAAGCTCAATTAGAAATGAAATGGGAGATATTACACCCAATATCACAGAAACACAAAAGATCATTCAAGGCTACTATGAACACCTTTATGCACATAAACTAGAAACACTAGAGGAGATGGATAAATTCCTAGAAAGATACAAACCTCCTAGCTTAAATCAGGAAGAATTAGATACCCTTAACAGACCAATAACAAGCAGCAAGATTGAAATAGTAATTTAAAAATTACCTACCAACAAAAAAAGTCCAGGACCAGATGAATTCACAGCAGAATTCTACCAGACATTAAAAAAGGAATTGGTACCAATCCTATTGACAGTATTCCACAAGATAGAGAAAGAGGGGACCCTCCCTAAATCATTCTATGAAGCCAGCATCACCTTAAAATTAAAACCAGGAAAGGACATAACCAAAAAGAAAACTGTGGCTGATATCCCTGATGAACACAGACACTAAAATCCTTAACAAAATACTAGCTAACTGAATCCAACAACATATCAAAAAGATAATTCACCATGATCAAGTGGGTTTCATACCAGGGATACAGGGATGGTTTAGCATATGCAAGTCAATAAATGTGATACATCACATAAAGAGAATTAAAAACAAAAATCATATGATCATCTCAACAGATGCAGAAAAAGCATTTAATAAAATCCAGCATCCCTTTATGATAAAACCTCTCAACAAAATTGGCATAGAAGGGACATACCTCAAAGTAATAAAAGCCATCTATGACAAACCCACAGCCAACATCAGACTGCATGGCGAAAAGATGAAAGGATTCCCCCTGAAAAATGGAACAACACAAGGATGCCCACATTCCCCACTTCCATTCTTCATGGTACTGAAAGTCCTAGCCAGAGCAATCAGACAAGAGAAGGAAAGAAAGGGCCTCCGAATTGGAAAACAGGAAGTAAAACTGTCGCTGTTCACCAATATGATTGTACATCTAAAAAACCCTAAAGACTCACTCAAAAAGCTCCTAGATCTGATAGATGAATTCAGCAAAATCTCAGCATACTAAATCAACATATGCATCAATAGCACTGTTATACACCAACAACGACAAAGCTGAGAATCAAATCAAGAACATGATCCCTTTTACAACAGCTTCAAAAAATATAATACTTAGGAATATACTTAACCAATGAGGTGACAGATCTATGTAAGGAAGATTACAAAACATTGCTTAAAGAAATCATATGTGACACAAACAAATGGAAACACATTCTATGCTAATGGATGGGTAGAATCAATACTGAGAAAATGACCTTACTGCCCAAAGGAATCTACTGATTCAATGGAATTTCCATCAAAATATCATCACCATTCTTCACAGAACCAGAAAAAAGAATCCTAAAATTTATATGGAAACACAGAGGAGCCCACATAGCCAAAGCAATACTAAGCAAAAAGAACAAATCTGGAGGCACCACATTACTCAAATGCAAATTATACTACAAGGCTATAGTTACCAAAACAGCATGGTACTGGTATAAAAATATGAACACAGACCAAGGGAACTGAGTAGAGAACTCAGAAATAAAGCAAAATACTTACAGTCAACTGATTTTCAACAAAGCAAACAAAAACATAAAGTGGGGAAAGGACACCTTATTCAACTAACAAGCCACAAGTAGAAGAATGAACTGGATCTTCATCTCTCACTTTACACAAAAATCAACTCAAGATGGATCAAATACTTAAATCTAAGAGCTGAAACCATAAATGTTCTTCAAGATAACATCAGGAAAATTCTTCTAGACACTGGCTTAGGCAGAAAAATCATGACTAAGAACACCAAAGAAATACAACAAAAACCAAAATAAATAAATGAGACCTAATTAAACTAAAAAGCTTCTGCACAGCAAAAGAAATAATCAGCAAAGAGACAACCTAGAGTGTGGGAGAAAATATCTGCAAACAATGCATCCGACAAGGGATTAATATTCAGAATCTATAAGGAACTCAAATGAGCAAGAATAAAAACAAATAATCCCATCAAAAAATAATTAAAGAACATGAATAGACAATTCTCAAGATATACAAATGGCCAATGAACATAAAAAATGCTCAACATCACTAATTATCAGGGAAATGCAAATCAAAACCACAATGACTTACTACCTTACTCCTCCAGCTTAGAGGAGTAAGGTGGTAAGACCATAATTAAAAAGTCGAAAAATAATAGATATTTGCATGGATGTGGTGCAAAGGGAACTCCTTTACGTTGCTAGTAGAATTGTAAACTAGTATAACCACTATTGAAAACAGTATGAAGATTCCTTAAAGAACTGAAAGTAAAACTATCATTTGACCTAGCAATCCTACTACTCGGTATCCACCCAAAGGAAAATAAGTCATTACATGAAAGAGACCCATGCACATGCATGTTTCTAGCAGCGTAATTCACAATTGCAAAAATATGAAACCAACGTAAATACCCATCAGCCAATGAGTGGATAAAGAATATTTGGTATATATGTACTGTGGAATACTACTCAGCCATAAAACAGAATGAAATAATGGTCTTTGCAGTAACTTGGATGGAGCTGGAGGCCATTATTCTAACTGAAGTAATTCAATAATAGAAAAGCAAATATCCTATGTTCTCACTAGTAGGTAGGAGCTAAGCTATGAGAATACGAAGGCTAAGAATGATATAAAGGACTTTAGGGACTCGGGGGGAAGCGTGAGTTCGTGGGTGAGGGATAAAAGGCTACATACTGGGTACAGTGTACACTGCTCGGGTGATGGGTGCACCAAAATCTCAGAAATCATTACTAAAGAACTTATCCATGTAACAAAAAACAACATGTACCCCCAAAACTATGGAAATTAAATAAAAAAAACCCGTCATCCAAGTAGAGAAAAAAATGTCCCTTTCTCAGGACTGTAGCAATAACCAAACCCTCTGCTTATGTCAATGTATTAACTTAAAGTTTTCCAAGAAGCTGCTTCTAAAAGAAGAAAATGACAGATTAAGCTATGTTCAGCAAAGAAAGAAATTATTAAATTTTGTGTGTTTAATTGCTAATAATGAGCTGAAATTATAGCAGAGAGAACATCAATTCTTGAAGGCAGTTTAAAAAGGAGGCTGGTTTCCAGGAAGCTTAGGGGTACATCCTGACTCCTCTTCTGAACTGTGACCTGGGGTAAGTTACTTAAATTCTTGGTTTTCTCATTTAAAAATGAAAACATAATTACCAGCTTTCAGTGCACTGACAGATAATGAAAACAAAATGGGCAAGAAAAGAGTTAACGTATTGGGCCTGACTGCTGTCCTTTGAAAGGGTTGCTTATAAGGTTGGCTTTCGCTGGAGTTTGGGAAGTTGGATTTTGGAAAGTTTCTCAGCATTCTCAGAAAGGATAAAAATGGCAAGCTATTCCTCGACAATAGGGTTTATGCTGAACATGTGTTTTCCTTCTGGGAATCTGGGATTTTGGTATATCCCAGGCACAGGCTGCCTACGTGGCCAGCCTCAATAAAAAAAGTTCCTCTGGTTGGCAACATTTCACACATATTGTCACACTTAGTTGTTGAGGGAATTAAGTGCATTCAGTGTGACTCCACTGGCAGAGGACTCTGAATAATTTCATCTGATTTCTTCTCGAAAAGGTGCCCCATGCACCTTTTTCCTCTGCTGATTGTGCTTAGCGTCCTTTTGCTGGAAGAAAGTCATGGCCATGAGTACAGCCATATGCTGAGTGCCCTGAGTCCTCCTCTTGAATTACTGAATGTGAAGTCTTGAGGACATAAAATACCTAGCATACTACCTAGCAAATAAAAACGCATGCAATAAATAAATGTATTTATCTCTGCCATCATCTTGATATATTGATGCTATTACTCTGAATGAAACTGCAGGTAACAGTGATATTGATGTGGCAAGACCAAAAATTTGGAATGGTTTCCTGTATCAGGTTTTTAACAGAGATGTGTGCACAACGCATATCCCAAATACATCCTCACACATATCTGAAGGGTTTATGAACGAGGACATTCATGATTGTTATTTGTGGAGAATTGGAGGCCACTTGTGTGGTTTTCACTGGAAAATACAGGGGTAAAATGTGTTGGTGTGTATTGTTAGGCATCAGGCAACTACAAAGGAGTATACGAGCATGCAGTAACAGGCAGAGTAAAAAGAGTAAGAAGAAATCAGATACACACCATTTTATTTATGAAAATTAGATACATGCATACAAGACAATATGCATGAACATATAAAAACAAAAGGTACTCAATGGCTACATTAGAATGATTTTCTATGGTACCAACAATATGATTTTGGGAAGGGGAAGTGGAAATGTGATATGGAAATGAAAGAAAGTATTTTACTTTTAAAATAAGATTAGAGCCCTGTACAGATCAATAATAGTGATGTGCCACGAACAGAGGAGTAGGATCAACTCATCTTTCTGTCCCTGGGATCCAAAAAAATCAACTTCACCCTAAAACTATAATATGACCATGATGATGACGATAATAGTTGTATTGGCCATCACTGACTAATGTACCAGGTACTTACTCCTTGGTACAATTCTTGGAGGTACGCACTGTTAATATCCTATAGATGACAAAGCTAGGGCACAGAACAGTAAAGCTACTTACTAAGGTCACATAGTAGACTTTAGAGTCAAGACATACACAAAGCATGGAGAAGAACCCAGGAATTGATTAGAAGATTTCAGGATGCTGAAGTTTAGCCTGGGCCTGTGTGATCATTGGATCTTGGGTCTATTCTTGAGAGGCTGCCCTCCCTCCTTCCGTTTAACATTCTTTGGGCATATGTTAAGTGTCAGGCAGTGTTCTCAAGATGCAAATTGTAACATTCAAAACAAGAAATGATGCTAGATATTAAGTGAACCTTCACATCGAAGGTACAGGGAACTCCAGTAGACCTGTACCCTTTGCCAATTTAATATTAATTAATTATTATTTAATTAATATATTATAATAAAATAAATATATTATATTTTATTAAAATATAATATATTATATTATAATAAAATATAATATATTATATTATAATAAAATATAATATATTATAATAAAATTATAATATATTATATTATAATAAAATATATTATATTATAATAAAATATATTATATTATAATAAAATATAATATAATGTTATATTATAATAAAATATAATATTATAAAATATAATATAATACAATATATTATATTATATTATAATAAAATATAATATTATATTATATAATTAATTATATTAAATATAATATTTAAATAATTAATTAAATATTAATTATTAATTAATTAATATTTCCTTTTTCAGTTGTTTCTAATGACCCTCGTGAAATGGAGCTTATATGCCTTTGTAAGACTAATTTTGCAGCATGAGTTTTGTGTCTGAGTAAATCAAATCATTTGTGAGTGAAGACTGCAGGCCTCTGGCATTCACAACTTGCCGATTTCTTGGTCTCACCCTGTGCACTATTTCTTTTAATTTAATAAAGGATAAATTTCCTTTCGTGATCCTAGCAACCTACAGAAGGAAATATTAACCTCACTTTACATCAGTGGTTCTCAACTGGGACAAGGGAACAACTGCCCAACAAGGGACATAGAGCAATGTCTGAAGACAATTTTGGTTATCACAATGGGGTAGGGGGTTTGCTACTGGCAACTAGCAGGACAGAGGTTACAGATGTTGATAAGCACCTACTGTGCATGGGATATGTACCACAACAGAGTTACCTAGCCCAAAATGTCAAAAGTGCTGTTGTTGAGAAACCCTGCTTTATATATAAGGAAACTGAAAAATTATATACCATGACATTCATGAATGTGGAGATTCTAGAACATAGTAGGTTATCTTGCTTATGGATATCGAGGATCTTGTGGCATAGCCATTTTCAGTGAATCCTTCTGCATTTCAAGTGTAGCTCCCTTTAAAAAGCTGTTGTGATGCTGCTGCAATCAATTATATTTGAATGGGAAGTGGAAAAAGCAAAAGAGGAATCCTTTGACAGTTACCTGCTCACTACAGGCTTTTCTTTGACGTGTGAGAAAGAAGAGTCAAACACAGAAGAAAAAAAACAAAAACAAAAACAAAACAGTGACTTTGTTATTGGGTCACATCATTCTGATGGAAATTGATGGGTCAGATTCCACATTTGGGGAGCAAACAGGGATATTGTTTTGGACATTTTGGTTTTGCCTTATACAACAAGATTTTTATTTTTATTAAGCTCCTGCTCACAGCAAACAGTTCCCCCAAGTGAACAGTGCTAAGCCCTCAAAAAGCAATTGGAATGGGAAAAAGAGGCCCAATGATAAGATCAAGATATGAACTATCAACCCTGGCTACTGGGTGATAAGTTTAACTTTCTGACCTTCATTGGAAATCACATTAGTAAAGTGCTGATAAAACACTCTGAGCTGGTGGGTGGAAGGTGTATGTTTCCAAAAGCACTCCATGGACTTGCGGGCCCAGCATAATACGAGGCTGTATTTATCTCTGTAATTTCCGGAGGGCACACACTGTCATTTCACATTTATGCTGAATGCCATGCCCGGTAAAGGCTCACAGATTGGGTATTAGGACTTATCCCTAAACCAGAGCATAATCAGAAATCTTTCCAAAGGCAATAAAGAGTAAGTGAAGGAATTCCCCCTGCTTTTTCAGTAGCATCTGTGATTTCCAAATGGACCCCAACAGAGAGCTTCAAGTGCTGCTAAAAGCGCTCATTTACTTAAGGGCTCTTTTAGCAATTTAAATTCTATGGCTATTGAGATATGACCTATCTGCTCACGGGGTCACCCATTCTCCCCCTCTGAAATAATGCCCTTTATACCACATCTTCACTTAAGAGATGATTGTACCAAGTATGAGGATGATATTATAGACCATAAGATCATGTGTGGCTGAGTTTTGTTGGTCACAGGGACAGTTGTGCTGACCCATGGTGGTCAAAGTCATTGCCTGTTTGCATCCAGTTTACAGATTTTCTTCGAAGAAACCAATACTAATATGAGATCGGCAATTTATCCAAAGTCACAGAGTTTGCAGATTCAGGATGCAAATCCACGCTGTCAAAGTGTCACTCGAATGTATCATAACCTGATTATGACAATTATTTTAACGATCTAAGAGAAAATCCTTGAATGCACTGTGTAATCTGGCCTGGGTTATTACCCTCTTTATTAATAACAGTTTAATGGACATGAAAGAAATTAGGCTATCTCCATTTTAAACCCTTTCATATACTTTCTTTGTGCCTTTTCATAACAGTTTTCTGTGAAGTATTCCATTGAGACCATTTGGAGTTGTTTTCATTTCTTAATTATTTATGTATTTATTTATTTATTTTTATTTTCAGGCTCTGCTAAATAAGCATTTGATTTAAGGGAAATAAGAGTTGAAAGAAAGACACTGGAAAACTTAAATATAACAGATGTTTATTTGCAGACACCTGATTGAGCTGAATTGAAAGCCCCAGTCTATAAACTAAAAGCTATAAATGTCAGTTGACTAGAACTGACTCATAACCACGTTGAAGCATGGATCACCAACAGATAGCCATTTCAGAATCATAACATCCAAAATGGTTCTTCATCTTGTCAACACCACTGAGGAGTAACATAATTCTTACAGTGGAAAGCATCTTTCATTTCTAAGGAATAGTAGCTGTAGCTTGCAGCTAATTGTCTTAGCAATTACACAGTAAAGAATCTCTTCAAAAAGCCATGGTGGAAATATCTCATTGATATCTTATCTCAGCAAAAACCTGAGCACGGTCACCCCAGCATGCTAAAAAGAAGTAAAATACATTTCTTTGTAAAGCAGCAATTGAAATTAAAATTTGGCTTCAGTTCAGATGGATTTTTATGCAAATTATACAGAAATATCAGGCAAAAAAAATTAACAGTCCTGTGAAATCCACACAAAATAAGTAATAAATTATTTGGTATATTCTACAGAATTCTTCCAATATTCCCGAAGCTCCTAATGGCATGGGCTTAGTAAAAATGCCCTAAGAAGTAATTTTTTTTTGTACTTCCCTCATGCTTCACATTATATGTTAAGAACTTCACCTTTGAAAGAGCTGCTCTTGCATTTATGCTATACTAAACATTTTCAGATGTAAAAGCACTTATTAGGAGTTCTCTGGACATTTTTAATCTGACTCCATTCAAACCAGAAAGAGAGCTCCATCAGTGTTCTAAACTTACTGCAGTTGGATATAGATAATATTTACAGAGGGAAGACTCAGGTGTTATGAAGAGGGAAATAAATGGTAAAGTTGATGGCAAAGTGTGAGTAAATATTTTTGCAATGTTACTATGGCCAGAGGTTGAGAAAACTAAAGTAAGATACCCCAAGACCAATGGACTGTTATCAAGTCCCTGGAAGGAGAGGCTGAGGTGAAGGACAGGGGCAGAGCCATGTCACAAGAGTCTTCCTAGGCTCTTCCATCCACTGGTATACAGTTACCCTGCTCAAAGATACAGAAAAGCAGCTCATTGTGTGATTTTACAAGCTTATTCTCAAAGCTTTGTACACACTCACACAGACACACACTCACCTTGGCAACTATCACTTATGCAGATGGAATGCCTATTCTGCCATGTAACCATGGGAATAGGCCTAGGTCCTAGTGCAGAAAGATGTTTGAAAAAATAGTTCAGTAAAAGATCAAAAACACGGATTAAGGCAGTCTATTTTCTCTTGCCCACTTATGAAACTAATAAATATTGCAAATGGTAGCCACCAATCTCTACATCCATTTGCTTCTCCAATCAGCTGCTAACCCACCACCATATTGCTTTTATTACTCGCCAGCAACTAGGGGAACAACTTTATCAGATTCTTAGGCTGATCCATGAAGAGCAGCTAGGTGTCATTCTGAGTGGCAGTGCTGTATCCCTGTTCAGAAGAAACTATAAATCTGATTCTAAAAAAGAAGGTGATGGAGGTGCTGATGTCAGGGACTAAATAAAGATCCATACATTATCTCACCAACAGAACACCAGTTCCTTAGCTTCCTTTCTTGGCTATGCTGTGGGAGACAGAAGATGACCATAGGCTGTACAGAAAAAGGTAGGAAGTCCCAGAAGACACATAATCTGAGATAATATTGCTGTTGAAACACTCCCATTCTTTTGCTAAGATAAATACATCTCTTGCTGTTTAAGGGGCAGGTGATTGATATTGTTACTTGTGTTTTAGTTAATTCCGCATGTGAAAAAGTGAACCCATGTGGTCAAATACTCAAGATGCATATATAATTTCTTCATAGCCAAATTATCAATGAACAAATATACCTGCATTCTGTGGGTGGTTGAAAAAAACATCCCCAAGCCTGCCTTGAGATACTTCTCTTAGTTGTGTGCAATAAACTAACAAAGTAGGTTAAGACAGCTTACTTGCATTCTGAAACATACAAGTTACTATATATGTCTAGAGCCATAATGGGAGCAGAATGCTAAAATCAACAAATATAAAAGAATAAAATTCAACGCTGGATTTCATTCTGAATGGAAAAAGAAAAGGTAATGCCAAATGTACACTGGTCTAGCAATAGAAGAGAGCTCTAGGGAAAGCTAAAAGATGAAACTTTTGCTTGAAATGGACTTACTTTGGCACAAACCATCTTCTACTATGGAAGCTCTCACACTGGAGACTGCAGCAGATACTTGGTTTTGCTTTATTTTGTTTTCTGAATGTCCTGCACCTAACCACTTTCTATTTTGGGATATGCTCTATTTCTTTGTAAAAATAGGACTCCTCCATCTCCTTGTGGAAGATGTAAGGGTCAGATCTTTTTCTCTTTCCAGTCCAAGCCATAAATGCAAGATCCAGAAAAGCACATTTGGGAACTTTCTACCTGGCACTCTGACATCGTATGAGGTCTCTCAAAGACAAAGTGATGATTTCAATTCACTTTAGGTGATGGTGGTGGAGGCTGTGCTCTCTAGCAGCAGAGGTGGTGTCCTGTACATAATGCTGGTAATACTTCCTGCTCTGTGGCTGCTGGAGCCACCTGGGACCATGTCCAGTCACAAAACCAAGTCCTCCCTTCCTCACCAATGCAGTCAGCTCTCAATATCCTTTCTGCTTAGGATCAGAGTCAATTTATGTTATCTGCAACCAAATATATCCTAACTCACATCAAGACTTAATTTTATGAAGTTGGAACTCATAAACTCTTCCATTTGAAAGCACAATCACATCCATGACCAGTTTGGGCACTGTATTGGGAGTCCGAAGACCTCCAGGATCATCTGGATAACTGCTTATCAGAAGTACCTACAGCAAGTCTTTCCATCCTTCTGGGCTTCAGCTTCTCCATCTGAAAATCTGGGTGGTTTCTGAGATCTACATGTCTACGATCTTCTACGATCTTTGTAGATACCTTTTATGGTTGACAAGACAATGGATAAGAAAGTCACCCAAACCATCTTGAATATTTTTATCCAGTCCATTCCTTCCAGAGGGGAGAAAACTAGAAACATTTCTGATGCTTATGAAAGAACTGTGACAAGGGGTGAGGGCCAGACAATGTATTATGATCTTGGCAACTGAGCTCTAGATGAGCAGTTCAGTTCCTGTGTAGATACCTGCTGTGAACTGAATTGGGTCCTCCCCCAACTTCATATGTTGAAGCACTAATCCTCTATGTGACTGTACTAAGTATAGGGCTTCTGAGAAGTTGATTAAGGTTAAGTGAGGTCATAATGGTAGAGCCCTGATCTGACAGAATTGGTGCCCCTGTAAGAAAAAAGACACCAGTGCTCCGTCTCTCCACCATGTGAGGATGCAAGCCAGGAAGACAGCCCTCATCAGAAATCAAATGCTGCCAGACCTTGATTTGGGACTTTCCAGACTGCAGAAGTATGAGAAAATAATTTCTGTTGTTTAAGCCACCTAGTCTTGGAATTTTGTTATGGCAGCCCAAGCAGACTAAGACGACACTCAAGTCTTTCTCTAAAAATTGTTTGCAAACTTTAATTCATTTGCTTTATCCATTTACCTGTGAGGTATTCTTGTCATCATCATCCCAAAACACCGATATAGTATTTTGCATTTTGAAGGGTTCACGATCATTTATTAATGACTAGAGAGGTATGCAACAGCCTTATTGCTTGAGATATTATCTCCAAGAGGGAAATAGGGATGGAAGTATACATGTGGCATTTGGAACAAGGGTAAAAATAGAAATTGAGGATTTTCCTTGGGGAATGAGATGAAAAAATTCAATCAAAACATTTGAAGCATCATCACATTATCAATGTGCAATGTGTTGTGGAAATAGTTTTCTCAAATACATTTTTTTCTCTAAAATGAGATTTTTTTAAAAAAAGCATTGTTCTCTCCTGTCCTTTCTTCTACTTCCTGCCACTACAAAAGAAGTTTCTTGGCAAAGAAAATCTAAGAATATGATATGGAATTGAAACTGCATTTGACTTAGAGCCAAAGTTGTACATTCTTCAACCTCATTAATAATCTAAGAAGAAGAAAAAAAGCCAATCACATGCCATTTTCCACTCATTTAAATGACTACAATTTTAAATGGGACACAAAGTCCTTGCTGGCAAGGTTGTGATGAAATTAGTGCAGATAGCATTGCAAATTTGCCTAAAACTTTTGGAAGCAACTTGACAATATGGATCCTTAGGATCCTCTTGAGGCTGTAAATATTCTTTGAATGATTTCTTAAGGACATCAGTAGAACAAAGGAGACCAGAGAGATGAAGGAGTTTGTCCAAGGTGACACAGCAAGTTAGTGACTCATCCCCAACATATAACACAGGACTTGTCATACAGTGGGATCCTTATTAAATGTTTACAAATGAATAAACAAATTAAGGTGCCAAAGCACTTTTTTCCCCCCCCATTTTTTTCATTTAAAATTTTTTTTTATTTCAGTAGTGTTTTGGGGAACAGGTGGCATTTGGCTACATGAATAAGTTCTTTAGTGGTGCTATCTGAGATTTTGGTGCACCCATCACCTGAGCAGTGTACACTGTACCCAACGTGTAGTCTTTTATCCCTTGCCACCTCCACCCTTTCCCCCAAGTTCTCAAAGTCCAATGTATCATTCTTATGCCTTTGTGTCCTCACAGTTTAGGTCCCACATATGAGTGAGAACATACAATGTTTGGTTTTCCATTCTTGAGTTACTTCACTTAGAATAATAGTCTCCAATTCCACCCAGGTTGCTGTGAATGCCATTATTTTATTCCTTTTTACAACTGAGTAGTATTCCATAGAACATATATACTACATTTCCTTTATCCACTTGATTGATGGGCATTTCCTCCCAGACATTTGTCCAGCATAGTTAAAAGGAGGACAAATTTATATGTGCAGTGATGATTATTAGAGAATTCACTGTAACTGTGGAAAGACAGTGGAATAACTGTAATTGCTCTAAGAGAAAAGTGGTTGAATTAATGTTTCAGCAATTTGATGAACCACTAAATATATGTTCACTACATATATATTTTCAAATCCATGTTTCTGTATTTGTAAATACTAAGCCTATTTTAGCTAAAAGTTTTAAAGCGACTTTCCCCTAATTAGAAGTAAATTAGAAACCATAAGTTTTGCCCTATTTAACCCCTATTTGAAATCCACCAAAAGCAGGATTCACTTATATGGAAATGTTAACAGGTGGGAGAAATATTTGGCTTGGCATTCTGGAATCAAGCAGAGGACAGGCCATTGAATACCTAAGAGTTTACTTCCTGCTTCCTTTTTCACTAAAATGAGCTCTAATCTGGGCTACACTTTAGTTTTCTTGTTTGGTCAATTACACCTGGATATTGAATCTAAAATGCGGAATTATGGCCACTCATTTCGTGTCAAGACCAGTCAAGGATGTGAACCTTGCAAAGCACTGAATCTGATCAACAGCTGAATCATGAAATCAGAGAGCCTCAGGGTCAGTAGGGACCTATAGAGCTGTCACACCCACCTGAGACCACGTGCTCAAATCTCATCTTCAACATTGCCATCAGGCAAAATAAATAATCATACAAAATAGACTTTTAGATAACCTCTCCTTTCATTTGTGTTTATTAATGCCATATGATGGGAAAAAAATGAAGAGTACATTCTAATCTAGGATAATATCATGCAAGAGCAGGGCAGTGCTCTGATAATGCAAAATCTGGGTTGCGGAGAAATACCTTAAAACTGTGGCTGGTCTGGTTTCATTATATCTTAAGTTTTTCATTCCTTAAGAGTTTGTATTAAGATTCATCTTCTTCTAGAATACGAGATAGAGTATAACTAAAGACAGACCTTTACTGTATATCTAGATATTATTCCATTCAAGACTGAAACCTTGGCCACCACTGATGGTAACTATACTCTGTTCTTGTGTAAATTTAATGTTTAATTCTGTACTTCTGGTTTCTGCCTCCAAAGAATAAAATACTGGCAATTGCTCTGCGGGCATAATAAAAATATAGTTAAATATTACTTATTAGGACTAAGCTACCTAGAACAGTGCAAAATCTGATTTTTCATCACAATAGTAGTGCCTTCATTGTTTTTGCTCAGTATAAAAGCAATCATTGCTCATTGTAACATACCAAATGCTAGAAAAATCACTTTGTTATTCTATCTCTAGAATAGAAGGATCATGAAACAGTCTGGTACATATCCTTCCAAATATTTAATTGTTGTTTAATAACAGATTATTTCCCACTCTGCATAGTTTATAATGGGATCTGCAAAGTACAGCCTGTGAGCCCACCGCCTGTTTTTGTAAAAGCCTGTGAAAAGCTTTATTGGAATACAGCCACACTCATTTATTTACACAGTGTCTGTGGCTGCTTTCACACCAAAACAGCAGAGATGAGTAATTGCAACAGATACCATATGGTCTGCAAAGCTGAAAATATTTACTATCTGGCCCTTTACAGAAAACGTGTGCCAATTCTTCCTCCATAACCTTTATTTCCTGTCAATGTTATATCAACAATATTCTTTTATGATAATTTTATCTAGATCTACCTCATTCTTTTTAAAAGATATGCATCATTAAGTTTTATAAAAATTTTGTAATTTAACCGATATCCAATTGATGGACATTTAAAATTATTTTTATAGGCTGAGATTATAAGTTTCAAGAAACAGGAAATCAAAAGGCATTTAAAGATTGAGCCTGGTAGAGATGTATAAGAACCGTGCTTTAGAAAATGCAATAAAATGTTTGTGGAACCACTTTAGACTGGGTTTTACCTTGAGTGCTTTGGAATAGTTAAATATTGAGTGCTACTTTAAGTATTTTAATTTTCTTCCCAGAAATCCTGGAAGTAGAGAAAGGGATGGGCAAGACACCATGTTATAGTCTAATCGAGAAAATGGGGTGCAGAGCACAGTTCAAAATTCAGCCTTTCTGCAAGCTCAGAAACTGTGCATTCCCTGAATTCAAATGAGTTAGTTTTATCTCTTCTGTACCACCATTTCAAGGAAAGCAACTCGTATGACTTTCATCTCCAAAACCTCAGTACTGTGTCCTCCATCTCCAAGTCCTAAGCTCTTTGTGAAGACACTTGCTACTCCAAAAATAAAAAAAAAAAATCCTTTTCCCAATTTTCTAGCTTCAGTCCAAGGAAGCTAACCTATTAGAAATCCATTTCAAATGTCTGCGCTAGCAAAGACAAAGTTTGTTTTACATGCTGGGAAGGCTCAAGAAAGAGGTAACTCATAATTGAACAACTACTATAAAAAGTTCAAGGTTTCTGAGACTCTGTCTCTACCCAAAAATAAAAATTAAAAAGTAGCCAGGTGTGGTGGCATGTGTCTGTAGTCCCAGATACTCAGGTGGCTGAGGCAGGAGAACTGCTTGTGCTCAGGACATTGAGGCTGCAGTGAGCTGTGATCTTGCCACTGCACTCCAGCCTGGGCGACAGAGTGCGATCCTATCTCAAAGTTCAAGGTTTCAACTGCAAGACATGACCATTCATCCTGCATTTGGCCTTCTAGGTTTGGAGGGTGAAATGCCTTCATAGTCTAAAGTAGTATGTTAGGCGTGGTCTTCTCTGAGCTCTGTATCCCTATGTAACAGCTAAGTTGACATGTCACCTATGTGGTAGGCTATCTTCTTCTCATCTCGTGCATCTCAGCATAAGTGTCACTCCTCCCAGGATGCCTTCTTTGAACATTTGATCCAAATAGGGCCTTCCCCGACCCTTTGCTCTCCATCTCAGTACCTGCTGGTTTTAGTTATAGCATTTGCCAGTGTGCAATTATTTTATTTCATCATTCCTGTTTATTATTTTACTCTATAAGGCTGTGTCCTCGATGAGAACAAGAACCAACCCTGCGGCCGGGCGCGGTGGCTCACGCCTGTAATCCCAGCACTTTGGGAGGCCGAGGCAGGTGGATCATGAGGTCAGGAGATCGAGACCATCCTGGCTAACAAGGTGAAACCCCGTCTCTACTAAAAATACAAAAAAAATTAGCTGGGCGCGGTGGCGGGCGCCTGTAGTCCCAGCTACTCAGGAGGCTGAGGCAGGAGAATGGCGTGAACCCGGGAAGCAGAGCTTGCAGTGAGCCGAGATTGCGCCACTGCAGTCCGCAGTCCGGCCTGGGCGACAGAGCGAGACTCCGTCTCAAAAAAAAAAAAAAAAAAAGAACCAACCCTGCCTGATTCAATCTGCCATCTCTTGTGCTTTGTACCACCTGGAACATAATAAGTGATTAATAAATATTTGCCACATTAAGGAATGAATATTAGAGTAAGCAATTTCTTTATTTGATCTCTAAGTTCTTTGACTCTGGAGACAGCCTCTCCACATTTGAGTACTGGCACCTATGTTTGTTACAAGTAAGACTATGGACAAAAGTAACTTGATTTTCCTGTGCCCCTTTTTCCTCATGAGTAAAAGGCAAAACAAACCCAAAACCTAATCCAGTAGGATTTTATTTTTTGAGATTCAAATTAGTTTGGTCCTGGGGCACAAAGAATATTCTCAAAAAATAGCTACCCTCCATTGCTATTTCTATTACTATGTTATTTTCCAATTTATAAACATAGGTAGAAAAAAGCCATTTGATTGTATTCAAATACAACTGCAGCTTTTTAAAGAACTTTTATATACCTGGTCTAATTTTACACTTTGAAATTCTTGAAAGTTTGGTCAACTGAGGCTCACGCTAACCAGCCTGAATGGGAATGATGAGGAAACTCAAGGCTACAGCAATGCTGTGTCTCACCCAGGTAGGATGTGGCCAAGCAGGTGCTACTCTGACCCTTACCCAGGCTAACATTTCAACATTCAGTTACCCAGTTTAAAAGAGTGAACATAAAACACAAAGATGGAACAAACATTCTATCAAGGTCCACCCTAGAATGCACGACTAAAAATTATTAGTTGGATTCCAGACTGCCTTATTGAATTCTCCTCTTTAGGGAACATAAAAATTGATCAGCTCTTGAAAATTCAAAGTAAAGAGAAAAAAGTAATTTTCAGACTTTTCTTTCTGGCTGTCAGGTAGGAAATAACAAAAACCCTAACTCACAGGTGTATTTTATCAAGTTTCCACCCTGTTAAGCAAGAAGGACAAAATAATTAACTTTTAAACATGATTTTACAACAGGCCCGAATGTGGCTGAGAAGTTATTTACAAAGTTTTTGGTGTATGTGTCAATAATTTCTGCAGTGTTCTCTTTGGGGGACACTGAAACCTCTCTGGGTCAGAAGAATAATACTATGAAATTAATACTCTGTGCCAGGTACCATGCTAGTGTCTTTTCATACTGTTTATCTTATTGTACAATAGCCCTGGCAGGCAGATATTACTATTCCCACTTTATGGAACAGGAAACAAGGACCCAGAGATGTTAACTGTGTTGCCAAAGATCGCAAAGCATACAACAGGCAGAGCCAGGATCTGAGCCCAGTCACGTCTGGCTCCAAAGCACTTTCTTTCCACTGAACAGAGCTGTCTCTGCCTAATTTCTCAGTGCTTTGGGGGATAATAACCCTGAACTAGGACTTGACAGATTTGAGCCTGCTTCGAACTCCCTACTGCTCCATGCGACCCCTGTACTTCCACTTATTCCAAAGGGGCTGCCCTTCTGCTGCTACAGTTTACAAGGAGGGTGGGGAAAGGAAATGACTCATGAGCTAATTTCTGCAAAGCAGATGGAACATCTTGAAGAAAAAGGTTCTGTGCAGAGGCCAAGAAATAAATGGTGCGACCTAAGGATCAGATGGTTCACGAGCTATGAATTCCATGAAAATCAACCTCAAAAATCACCAATAAGAGTTTACTGAGTTTTTACTGTGTAACTGCTCAACACATGGCATCAAAGAAATAAAACATCAAGGGGGCAAATCATATAAAAGCAATATGATTTTAAAATAATACCAAAGACTGTAGCATAATTTGCTAAAGTCGTGCATTTATACAATAAATGTGAAAGACTCCCAATTACAGACTAGTATAATAAGGTCTAGACCAGTAACAATCTTAAATCCTTTGTATGTTTTTTTTTCATTTCATGAAGTGAGAGTTGATCTTGTCCAGGGAGAAGAAGAAGGGAGGATTAGGATTCCAGAAAAGAGGAGTGGGAAAAACAGCAGGACAGAGACAGAAAAATGAGGCCCCTTTCATGGGTCTAATAGCTCATGTAAGGGATACTAGCAAGGAAGACAGCAAGGGCAGCTGGAAGCAGAGATAAAGGCTAAACCATGGGGGAGCTTGACTGTCCATCAAAGGTTTCACAGGTTCATTCGCTGGGTTAAAGAGAGCAGGGGGCTGCTATAATACCAACTGTTACCATCTACTGAGTGGGAACTCTGTAGCAGGCACTATGCTAGGTGCTTGATAGTTTTAATTCCTACACCAGCTCTGCATGGTAGCTGTAACTTTAAAAAAATAATTCCAACTTTCATTTTAGATTCAGAAGGTACATGTGCAGGTTTGTTACATGGGTATATTGCACGACACTGAGGTTTGGGGTATAAATGATCCCATCACCCAGGTAGTGAGCATAGTACCAAATAGGTGTTAGTCCTTGCCCCCCTCCCCAGTAGCCCCCAGTGTCTATTGTTCTCATCTTTATGTCTACGTGTACCCAATGCTTAGCTCTCACTTATAAGTAAGAACATGCAGTATTTGGTTTTCTCTTCCTATGTTTTGCTTAGGATAATGACCTCCAACTGCATCCATGCTGCTGTGAAGGATGTGATTTCATTCTCTTTTACAGCTGTGTAGTATTCCATGGTGTATATATACCATATTTTCTTTATCCAATCCACTGATAGGCACCTAGGTTGATTCCATGTCTTAGCAATTGTGAATAGTGTTGCAATCTTCAACATGAGGCAACTGAAACTCAGAGAGGTTCAGAAGCCAGATTGAAATTATTCAGCTATCAAGATACAGAATAAAAATTCAAGCCAAAGCCCGTATTCTTGTGGTAACATATTACTTCATACATCTTCCCAACTATGCAGTGGTAATATTGATCTAGTATTTGTACAGGGTTTCTGTGGTATTGGATGGAGAAGACTGGAGGAAAGAAAAATAATGGGACTAAAATGAGATGACTGCTGGTCCTTGTTCCAGTAAAAAGAACCGAATGAGGAGGCTGGGATGGTGTGAGGCAGATAATATTAATAGCTACCATGTGTCAGCTGTTTAGCATAGGAGTAGATAGGACTATTTATCCATTATTTTATTTAATCTTCACATTAACTTTTAGAGGTAAAAATTATAATTACTATTTCTATTACCTATTAGGAAACCAAAGCTCAGACAAGCTAAGTAGTTTGTCAAAGGCCACACAATTATTCTGAGGCTGGGCATAGATGCAATGCAACTAATCTGTCTACAGAATGTAAGAACGAGAGAAGGGAAGGAAACACAAGGAAAGGAAAGGGGTATGCTGCAAATAAGGGCCCAGCCGGGCCCGGGGATTGGTTGGGATGGAGCAAATAAAAGTGATGGGTTACTCAAAGTTTATGATATGGTCTGATGCGTGGGCGATCTGAAGAACTGCGTTATCTTTAACAAAAATAGGGAGGAAGCCCTCCTTTAGGACAGAACAAAAAGAATGTTCATAGTGATTTTAAAACAGAGAAGTTTGACCATTGCAGTTAAAATGCTACACAGACATCAAAGAGAAGAAAAATGAACAAAGGGTGTTGAATTTGGAAATTAAGGAAAGGAAGGAAAAAAGGGGTTTGTAGCAGGTTAAGGAGTGAATTAATGGGTGGTGAGGGCACTGAGAAAGAAAATAAGGATTTTATTTTTCTTTTGCAATGTAGCCAAAGTAAAAAAAAGCAAGTATGGCTTAAGATGCAGAGTCAAAGTCAAATAAACTCACTTCTTTTTGAAGAATGAAGAAGCGTTAAGTATATTTTTGTAAGCATTTTTTATTATGTTACTGTTTAGTTTTTGTCTTCCTACTTCCAGGAGAATATAAGCCCCATTCACTAGGGAGAAAACACAACAGCAGAGCTTGCAGCTGTGAGCAAAGAGGGGCTATTACCCCCCTTTATATAGGTGTGAAAACTGAGACTTGAAGAAGCCCAGGGACTTGCCTAAAGTCACCAGGAACTGGTAAATCTGACTGAAGAGCTCTCAATTTCAACTTCTTTCTAGACACAGAGGTCTTAGCCTTGGAAAAGAAGGCAAAATATCCTCGGGAATGGGAAAGAAAGAGAGGATGACTAAAGACAGAGGAAAAAGGGGACAAAGAGAAAGATGGCAGAAGACAAGGGGTGATACGCACATGAAATTCAACATGGGGGCTGGGGGCGGTGGTTCACGCCTGTAATCCCAGCACTTTGGGAGGTGGAGGTAGGTGGATCACCTGAGGTCAGGAGCTCAAGACCAGCCTGGCCAACTTGGTGAAATCCCGTCTCTACTAAAAAGACAAAAATCAGCTGGGTGTGTTGGCACATGCCTGTAATCCCAGCTACTGGGGAGGCTGAGGCAGGAGAATCGCTTGAACCCAGGAGGCAGAGGTTGTAGTGAGCCGAGATCACACCACTGCACTCCAGCCTGGGTGACAAGAGCAAAACTCCATCTCAAAAAAAAAAAAAAAAATCCAACTTGGGTTCCTCCACAGGAGCCCGATTAGGTTAAACCAGGCTTTTCAGGGTTGTATCTACTACACATCCTGTACGCACATGTCCAAGGAGTGCAATGTGGCTTCCTCATTTTGTTGTTACTGGATGTCCTCTTATCCCTTGTAAAATGCTTAAAGCTTCAAGAAACACTCATACTTCAAGATGAAAAGACAAAAGAGCTAAGAGGATAGTAATAAACTTTTGGTAGAATGTGGTATGATTTCATAATCTCAAATTACATATTCAACAGCAATATTAAGATGAGAATGTAAATATCACTTTTTCACAGCTACTCCTTCTTTATAATACCATCTTTGAGGTAGACATGAATATTCCCGAAACCAAGCATTAAATGCCACCACCCTCCACTTTAGGGGATAAAAATCTTCCTCCTCCACATATGTTAAGGACAACACCATAAGGTGGCAAGTTTGTAAAAATGAGCTTTGGGAGTGGAATGTCTTAAAACCAATCCCCTGAACACTCCACAATGGCATATAGCAGACTTTATACAATAATCATTAAGTAAGCAAAATTAAACACCACTGATATAATAACAATCATATACCTGTGAGAGAAATAGACTTACTCCCCTTCCTCCTTTATTTCCCCCACTTTGTGTGGTATTTCCCCTTGAAAATCTCCTTTTCCTTTCAATTAAACAAAAGCTCAAGACACTCCTCATGAAACCAGTAATGGCCTTACCATAGAAAATTTAACTGAGTAGATTATAATTTCCCTTACATTTTTTTTCCTTCAAGTTCTGTTTCTTTTGGCAATGTCTTTTAAAAATTCTTTACTTATTAAGCTCAAGTTTGTTCAACATTTTATGAGTTTCTGGGGATATGTGTTCAGATGAAGAGACGATGATCCCCTCCCCCGCTTAGGCTCACAGGCCAATGAGGGAGACAGATTTCAACAGCAACAGGAAAGGAAGAATGCTACTTCAGAGACAATGCATAAAGCACTGTGAGGGCCCAGGAAGCACCACAGCTCTGAGGTTAAGAGACAGTCCTTGACATCATAAGCATGGGTTGCGATTATAACAGTTCCAGGCTTATGTGCTGGCTTAGTATCCATAAAAATTTAGGCAGGTGTGATGGCTAATGCTGAGTGTGAACTTGCTTGGATTGAAGGATGCAAAGTATTATTCCTGGGTATGTCTGTGAGGGTGTTGCCAGACGAGATTAACATTTGAGTCAGTGGGCTGGGGAAGGCAGACCCACCCTTAATCTGGTGGGCACCATCTAATAAGCTTCCAGTGAATATAAAGCAGGCAGAAAAACGTGAAAAAGCAAGACTGGCCTAGCCTCCCAGCCTACATCTTTCTCTCGTGCTGGATGCTTCCTGCCTTTGAACATCGGACTCTAAGTTCTTCAGTTTTGAGACTAGGACTGGCTCTCCTCACTCCTCAAGCTTGCAGACAGCCTATTGTGGGACCTTGTGATTATGTAAGTTAATACTTAATAAACTAATATATATACACATATATATGTGTGTGTGTGTGTGTGTGTGTATATATATATATATATATATATATATATAAAATCTCCTATTAGTTCTGTCCCTCTAGAAAACCCTAATACAGCAGGTAACTTAACTTCCTTAAACCTTAGCTTCATCCTCTGTAAAAACAGAGATAATGTCTACCTCATCGGGCTGTTTTGAGCATTCTGAAAGAGAACTTGTATAAAATGATTACTGCAGGGAAAACACTCTAAGTGCTTTTGAAAAAGTCCACTTCCTGGGGAAGGTCAGGGAAGGCTGTGTGGAGGTGAAACTTGAACGGATTGAAGGACACATGTAGAAATCACTGGGTGAACGAGACTGGAGAAAAGGCTATAGGAAAATTTACTCCAAAAGAGGGAATTGGATGCACCAAAATAAAGAGAAGAGGAGAGGAGAGGAGAGGGGCACAGGAGAGCAGAAGTAGGTGAGTAAAACTTATCACAGAGTGCACAAGGATGGCTGCAGGAATGAGGATGGAAGGGGATGAGAAGCTGGCAGTGACACACAGAGACGCTGGAGCTTCTCCTGCAGTTAATGAGAAGCCACTGAAGGGTAGCTGTGTTAATGGCCCAGGAATTACAACATGATGCTTCAAGGAAGGACATCACCACCAACAATCTTTTTCGTGCAGTCTCCAAGGTCTGTGGCTCTCAGGTTATTTCTTGCCTTACAGAATTCCTAACAAGCCAACCATGGTCTGAACACATTACAGTCATTCAATCTTTAATGCCACGGACCAGCTGCTGCTAAAATTATTTCTCTCTCTGAAAGAGGGATTTATGCCCAGAGGCCTTTTTTTTTTTTTTTTAAGCAAAGATAGGGCCAAATACAGCAGGTGATATCTACACACAGGAGTGGATACAAAATCCAAGAGGCGTGTTGATCAATTATTTAGTAGGGAGTTTTGGCCCCTGCCTTGTAAAATCCATCAACTCAAAAGGATGTGGGAGCACCCACTGGGCCTCAGGTATCTGGCCAGACTCAGCAGAAGACTCAGGAGCTTGAAACTGTGGTCCTGCCCCCAGGCCTATAGCCAGGGAGGCAAGACAAAAAGTGGGAAACTAAACCGCACAGGACTCAAAACCATCTTGACAACAAATTAAAGTTACTACTCAGGCACAGAATTTAAGAACTCGCTGATAAGAGGAAGACAATTTCTCAGGGGCAGAAAACACCTCAAAACCCTTGAAGAAGTTTCCTTGAAGAGAGCTTGGGAGAGCAGTAAAATTTAGATGACAGATGGGGAAATGGGATATTTTCAATCTGTGATTTCTAGACTTGGCAATTTTACTGTTTACTAAAATTCCCAAACAAACCCTATAAGGCAGGGAGAGTTGACATGGGTTTGTAAACTTTTTTGCTAAATAAGGAAGATTTTGTTTAAGATAGAAAAACCTATCCTCTTCTAGGATGATCATTTCATAAAAGCAAGAATATTCTACCATCCAAAATGGAAGGGAAACAAGCTCTGAGTAAACTGCATATAATAATTTTCTATTGCTATGTAGAAGATGATATGTTTAGTGGCATTTATTTGTCATCGCCTGGTTTCTGTCCTTCAGAAGCCCAGACAGAGAATTGGGTGCTCTGAAGAGGGTCTTACAAGGTTGAAATCAAAGTTTTGCCCCAGGTCGGAGGCTCTTTCTCTCTTGTTAGTTGGTGCCTGGGGACCACTCTTAGGTCCTAGAAGCTACCTCAGTTCTTTGCCATGTGTGTCTTTTCACATGTCCACTCTCTGATTTTCTTAGTCTGTGACCTCTATACCCAGATTTGAAGGGCTTATGTGATTAGGCTGGTGACTCCCAGAAAAATCTCCCTTTTGATTAACTCAAAATCAATTGATTAGTAGCCTTAATTGCATCTGCAGAATCCCTTAGGCAATAACATAATCACAGAAGTGGCATCACATCATATTTACAAGTTTCTCCCTCACTGAAAGGAAAGAATATAAGGTATTTACTCCAGGGAGCAAGGATCTTGACCGCCATCTTAGATATCTGTCTACCATGATGTACATCTTCCAAAGAAATAAAGTGCCAAATTCATACCAAAATATTTTAAAGGATATATTTTAAAATTCTTGAAATATAAAATTTATCTCAGTTGTTACAGCAAACCCATTTTTTCCATCAGTAAAAGAAAAAATATATATGATCTACCATTGCATTTTGAGAAAGGGTATACATATAAAGTGTTTTGAGACAGAAGCTGGTCAGTCAGGTGCTCTGTATGACATGAGGAGTGAGGAGGAATTTGAGATTTAAAAGGTAGGAGGGAAGAAATAAGACAAAATATTCTGGATGTACTAGGGGTAAAAGGCAGAGGCAAGGAGCCCTCACGGTGATTCAGAAGAGAAACACTGACTTAGGAAGAAAGATACATCGATTAAAATGTTAATCAAGACATTTGCAGCAGGAGGTGAGAGGTGAACCCCTTGCTCTGGCTCCCCTATGACATCTTCAGTAGAATCTGCATTTCTCTCTAATATTTTGTGAGACTGACATTTCCCTGACAAATATGAAGAAGTATTGAGCTCTGCATCGAAGATAGTATGGGACAAATAGAGAGAATGCCTATGAAGATGACATTATATACACATAATACAGGTAAGCCGATGAAGGGAATGGGAACAACATTCTTAAGAATATTCGTGCTCAATTCTGAGTATTCTGGGTGAAAGAGAGGTGAGGAAGGCCAGGCACAGTGGTGCACACCTGTAATTCTAGCACTCTGGGAGGCTGAGGTGAGGTGATCATTTGAGGTCAGGAGTTCCAGACCAGCCTGGCCAACATGGTGAAACCTTGTCTCTACTAAAAATACAAACATTAGCTGGGCATGTTGGTGCACCACCTGTAATCCCAGCTATTCGAGGAGCTGAGGCAAGAGAATTGCTTAAACCTGGGAGGTGGGAGTTGCAGTGAGCCAAGATCGCACACTGCACTCCAGCATGGGTGACATAGTGAGCCTCCATCTCAAAAAAAAAGAAAAAAAAATATGTCAGGGAATATCATGCCCTTCTCTCCCAAGTTCTTTTCTATCTTCTCAAAGAACTAAAGAAAAAAAACCCTCCATAAACCAGATGTTTAACTGCAAAGGCTGGTGATGAACATCAAGGCCTAGATCAATCCTCATAAGGCAATGGGGAATTTATCTGAGAGTAATGATATGACTGGCATGAGGGACCCCAATTCTAGATGTGCACACAAAGACACGGGAGCAAGTTAAGTCCAAGTCTTTTGCAGCCTAGTGAACGTCCGGCAAAATCTCACAAACATTCCTCCACCTATCATTACAGTTTCCTTAGCAGCAGCTCCAAAGGGAAGTCATTACAATCATCTCGGCGAGTCAGAAAACATGAGGAATTGTGGAGGTTAAATTACCTGCCTGGGGCTGCCACACAATATGGAGCAGAGTTGAGATTAGAACTCCCCAGTGCCTATGCCCAAGGCCTTTGCTCAACCTTAATAGACCGCGAGTTCTCTAAAAGCAAAGCTTTTCCTTTGGGGTATGGCAACAGAATTACAGAAAACTGTACCAGGAATGGAGAAATTGTGATTCTAAGGAACACATTACAGGCCACCTGATCCTGGGCTTGTCTTGATCTTTTACTCTGAAAGCTGAAGTGCACTGCTGTGACTTTTCCTCACTGGGGAGGATGGATGGAAGGACAGACAGGAAAAGGCGGCAGGGTGGGTTGGAGGAGATGTGGATTTGGGACCTGGGGCCGCAATGTGGCCCCGAAGTAGTCAACCTTAATGTTTCTGAAACAATTAGGATAAACATAAACTCCTCATAGGAATAATACCTAACTTCTGCTATCTTGCCAAAAGACCGCGGCTATCAAATGGTATAACTGCTGGGGAAATCAGTACGGCAGTTCTTCAAAAAATTAAATGTAGAATTACCATATGATCCAGCAATACTGAGGCAGGATAGGTAGTCAAGGAAGTAACCATGTCTTTGGGGAACGCGGTAACCATGGTGACCGCATCAACACAAAGAGCCCTAGTGCTCACATTTCAGTCAAGCTCGTCCAAGTAGAACTAGCTTCAGTGGGGACTTTCCCCTGCAGAGAGCATGCACATTTTGATTACTTGTCTTCAGACTGACCCTTTGATTATTATAATAGTAAAAACACACCCCTGGGTGGAGATTTAAGATGTTAACAAGACATGCAAGCATTCTTGCAAGTTCATGCATGTATGAACAAGCAAGTAGAGCTACTGCACATGTGCACCTAGAGGGCCACCCAGAACATGCTTACTGGTAATACCTCTTCCCACCCCCTTCTGAATAATTATGTAAAACTCCTATAAAGGGAGTTTCCCCAGTAACAGGCAACGCTGTCTCATTTCGAGCAGTCTGCGCTGAATCATCTCTCAGAGTATACTTTCTCTTTTGCACGTAACCTTCAGAGTGTGCATTCTCTTTTGCAAAAAATTGCTCTATGCCATATGTCCTTTGCTGTGTGTCTCTTGCTTACATTATTTTAACTAAGAAGATAAGAACCAAGGTCTCATACTCACTGTCAATAATACCACTTTTAGGGATATACCCAAAATAATGGAAAACAGGGACTCCAACAGATATTTGTGCATGAATGTTCATAGCAACATGATGCACAACAGACAAAAGGTGGAAACAGCTAAATGTCCATTGATAGATGAAAGGATAAACAAAATGTTGTGTCTACGTACAATGGAACACTATTCAGTATGAAAGGAGTGAAATTTTGATACATACTACAACACGGATAAACCTTCATGACATTATGTTAAGTGAAATAAGCCAGACACAAAAATGCAAATACTGCATGATTTCACTCAAATGAGGTCGGCAGAGTAGTCAAACCCATACAACCAGAAAGCAGATTGCTGGTTGCCAGGTTTTGTGGGAGTTATTATGTAATGGGAACAGAGTTTCAGCTTGAGATGATGAAAAAGTTTTGGAGATGGATGATGATGATGGTTGGACAATAATATGCATGTACTTAATGTCGCTTGAACTATATACTTGAAAATGGTTAAAATCATGAATTTATGTATAGTTTATGAAAATTTTTTTTAAAAAGAGGGAAAAGACCATGACTACTTATTTCCTATGTGTATCTTCACTAGACTGTAGGGGCTATGAATGTTGAGGCCACTTGGTTTGCTTATCATATCCCCAGTACCTTGCACAGTGCCTGGCACATAGTGAGTTCTCAATAAATATCTAATTAACCAACTATGGTCCAATGTTGTAAAATGCTACCACCTGTGGCTTTCTTTGTCACAGTATCTTCTTTTTGACAATGTATTCATTATCTCTTAACTGCATGGCAGCTCTCTACACTAGGCAGCCCTCTGTAATTAGGCTAATTAGGGCCCTTCATGGCTTTGCCAATGAAAGAACAAGATGAAATAGTACAGACTCTACCTACCTTGTTGAATGAATACAGAAGATGTTGTCTGGATTAAGAAAAGTTTATTGTAACACTGAATGATAGAGCACCTTTTACTATCCAATAATTGTTAATATAGCCCATGGGTTCCAGCTCTGTCTCGTCATCAGCCTCAATTGGGGAACTTATTAAAAATACATATTCTTTGCTTTTCATAGCTGCCCTTTCCATAGCTGCTTTAATAGGACTAACATGGGTCCTGGGAATCTCAATTTCTGTTTGCATATTCTCTTAAGTTACTGTGCAATTTGGAAACCTCTGCTCTAATCACTTCATGTGTATGTCTTGCTTCCCAGATTAGCTTATAAGCTCCGTGAGGGCAAGAAATATGTCTTATATTTTGTATATTATCTGCAGTGTCTAGGAGGTTAATCAGCATTGAGCTGAATGATTAACACTCTTATAAGCATAAAATGGCATGCAACACTGGGTTATCCTACAGACACTCTGCCATTCCAACATCTCAAAACATAAGAGCCAAATGCAGTTCTTCATTCTAATGCAACTCTATATATTGCCTTTTGGAGCAATATCAGCAAGAGCTGATTATTCCTTTAGGTCCACATCTGTTCTTTCAAATATTTGGAATTTAGCAAACTTATGAATAACACATTTCAAATCATAGGAGAGTCCAAGAAGTAAAAAGCTGCATGTTGTCAGGGCCAAGCAATGTGTGTTTAAACTAGAACAGCTGCAGATACAAAGCATAAGAATTGCTTTAAACAATAGTAATTTCAATGATTTCATACATAAACTGTTCTTTTCCAGGCAATATAAGTTGTGTTCAAATTCATTTTACAACTAGTAGGAGTAGGTGATCTTTCTTTTTAATACTCCACCCAAAACTTTTGTCCTTATTATTCTGTAATGAAGTCTAAATTCTATTAGTAGCAACACATTATTTGTGCTTCAGTAGTTATCTGTCCAGATGTCCCCTTTAAAATGTGGATGCATTAATTTATAATTCCTTGGCACTTGAGTTTAAAGTAGGTCATCATATCCTCAAGTCAGACAGGACTATAGGTTTAATAAGACCTTTAGTCAAGCACTTTTGGGAAATGATGGAAACTGTATATTTTCTCCAAGTGTCAATAACATATCTCCATGCTGGCTCTCACCAATAGCAGCAGCATTACTTGGGAACTTGTTAAAATGCAAATTCCCAGGCCCACACCAAGAGTATTGAACCAGAAATTCTGGGGACAGAGTCCAGTAATGTGTGTTTTCACAGCCTTCCAGGTGAGTCTGATGCTCACTGAAGCTGGAGAACCACTGTATTACCACAGGAGTGGTTCAGAAAGGCCTGCAGCAATGAAACATGCTTATTTAAAGCAGCCTTACTTACCCTCCTCACCCCATTTCATGTAACATCTATTAACTTCCATAGACTCTATGGAATACCTATTAACTTTCATGAGGTACACATTAGAAATTGCTGTACCAGATTATGGAAAAGCAAAAATATTTTCATCACATGATTGTCAATATATAGTGACAGGAACAAATATTTCTTATATTCTGCTATGTTCCAGGCCCCAGAAATACGACGTTAGATATGACAGACATAATCCCTTCTTCTCTAGGATGTACAGTCCAGTAAGGAAGAAAGATAAACAATGAACGTGTAGAGAATGTTATGTGTGAAGTCCACACAGTGTAGGGAGAAGGCAGGGCACATTAACAAGGGAAATGGACAATTCAGCATTAATTGGGTCATTAATCTGCTTTGCAAGCCATTTTCATCTTTCTCTTGTCTTCGTTGTCTTAACTAAGGGAACTAAAGCATCTGCCTCCAGCAGATATAAAAAGACTACTGCACTCAGACACACTTTCGGGAAGCCCCAAGTACAAGAGCCCTGGAAAGGTCATGGTCATCAAGGAAGCTGGCCAGTAAAGCCACACTGGATATCCTCACAGACAGAACTATTTTCTCTTAGGTCCTCTGATCTTTTGGACTCCTAAAGGCAGGCTTCTGGTTTGGTGGACCTGCTGCTCAGAATGTAGCTGAAATTTGAAAAACAGGTTATAGAGAATATTGCTGCTATAATGGATTCAAAAATCCTGGATTTGCCTAAATTTGCACCTTGAGAAATCCTATAGCTAAGTCACATGGCCTATAACAATGAGCTCTTTGAGTATGGAAAATTTTCTGTTGTATTTACTGACAAATTCCCAAACTCTAGAAGACTACTAACACAAAGTAGTCTCCCAGCAAATATTTGTCTTTTGAGGGTCAGCAAAGCCTCTGTCAATCTTGTACTTATCTCTGTATTAATAGTAATATTAATAGATCAACTATTACAACAATAAATTTTAAATCACATGAAAACTCATATACAATGGAGCATAGCAATCCAATAGAACTTTCTGAAATAATGGAAATGTTCTACATCTGCGCTATCTAATATGGTAGCCACTTAGTTGCATGCATGTGGCTATTGAGCACTTACAAAATGCCTAGGATGACTGAGGAACTGGAGTTTAATATTAATTAAACAGCCACATGCATCTAGTGCCTACCATATTAGACAATATACCCAAAGAGGTATAGGATCCAAGCTAATGGGGGCTCTGCCACCCTCAATATATGATGTTCAAGGTTACCCTAGAAGTCCTCTGTCCAGTTAAGTTTGAAGAGAAAAAGAGCATGGGGAAGTACAGGTAAGGCAATTTTATGGGCCAGGCATGTAAGTGGTATGTATTATTTCCATTTATATTACATGAGTGAGAACTATGCACTTGGTCACATCTGAATGCAAGAGAGGCTGGGAAATGTAGTCTCTGGGTGTGTAACCACCTGCCAGCAACAACTCCACATTATGGCAGGAAGGCACCTATTATTTTGGTGAATAGCCAGCTTTACCATGCATAACTATAAAGAAAGAAGTTTGTTTTCTAGGATCCTTTATCATCTGCTCCCCTCCCAACAATCTTAGTAATAAAATACTAGAGCTGGGTAAAAACTAATAGATCATTTCATTCAATTGTCCATCAGATGTTCAGAACATTCCCCCAACAGGCCTTTCTGATTCTAAATAGATTCCTCAACAAACCTAGAGGGAGGCTCTTTCTGCCCACTCATTTCTTCATTCCGGGTTTTCCACTGCTTTTTCCCTTCAAGTAAAACTTAACTGCACTTTCTCTTAGAGCTTAGCTGGATGATAATATTACTCTGATTAACACTTGCATGTGAATAATACCCACAACTCTATCACTTCAGACTGTCAGGTCTCGCAGATGACACATCTGCATGTTAAACCAAAGGCCAATGCCTAAGCAGAAAGAATAACCAATGAGGGAACTTCAGGCAGCGCCTCAGGGGAGATGTATCCAGCCCATAGGGACAGCTTTCAAATTCCCTGGAACACTTGTATAAAGGGGTTAAAAAGGTTTGGATGCTGACCCAGAAGCAAAGGGCCCTATGTTAATAAATCCTGCCTCTTTATCAGCCTCAGGACAGATTCAAACCCGTTTTTCAATAGGCAAGAGAGATGGAGAACAACAGATCCTTTTGCCCAGAAACCCATCAAATTTGTGCCTGCTCTTGGTTGGGAGCTGTCAAAAATCATTTTACCCTGCTTCCTTGGAACTCGGCATTTAAAATTTCAGTCACTTGTTTAGCAATGACTTATGTACTGCTTTGAGGAGGGCTCCGCGTGGCTGGTTAACTTGTACATTTAAGACTTGTCTCTCCATAGACTCTAAGCTGCTCGGGGAGACAGGGATGCTTTTCCCACATGTTAATCTTCCAAGCAGTTAGCACTGTGTCTGGCATGCCACAGGTCACAGTGAACGTCCAACTGCCCAGTGTGGTCAACAGGGCCTGTAAAGCTCTTCTGGACAATTTGAGTTCTGGTCTCAGCTGTGTAACCTCAGGCAAATCACTTTCCTTCTCTGAACATTGGATTTGTCCTCTAGAACGGAGAGGAAAAAGTATAGCCAGAGCCTGTGGGTCAAATCCAATTTGGGGATTGTTGTTGTATAGCTTGTGAGCTAAGAATGGTTTTTACATTTTTAAAAGTTTATAAAAAGCAAAACAAAAAAGAATATGCAATTGAGATTATCTGTAGACCTTGAAGCATAAAACTTTTACTCTTTGATCCTTTATAGAAAAAGTTTGCAGACCGACTGCCCTAAAATAAAGAACATAAACTAGAAAAAAAAAGTTTTCTTTCAAACTTCATTCTCTCCCTCCTCCTTATTGGAATGAGCTCTCCAAAGGAGATCTTACACAAAGTCCAGATACTGAATATATAACCCAAATGCCAGCCTGCTCAGGTTAATGCAGGGATGAGAACCTGATCAATACTCTTTCCTCCAGGGCTCCTTTGTGACCCTTTAACCTCCTAGAAATAGACCTTAAAAGTCTCAGACCAAAATATCTGTAAAGCCCTTTTTATGCCCCAGTCGTCTTTGTTTCTGAGAGGCAGTAGGACCTAATGGCTAGTGCTTAGGCTTATGAGTCAGAGTACTGGGACTGAGCCCTAGCTTTATCTCTTACTACCTGTAGGTATGGGTGAATTACATCACCTCAATTATTCGAAATAGGAATCACAATAGTAGGTCCTTCTAAGTTCCAGTGAAGGTTCAGTGAAACAGTGCATGGTCAGCATTTAGCAGGCCTGCCATATACTAAGATGTCAGGCAGTGTAAGCTATCATTATTATTGTGAGAACACACTCTTTTTTCTGTCTCCCACACATGCCTGCCTCTTGAAACAGCTTCAACAATACTGTCCAGAGGTCAATAAGTCACACGTTGTAAACTACCCTACCATGCTCCACACCGCGGAACACTCAAAACATATTAACCAATCAATACTGTTGGCAGAAAGCTCAGCATCCCTCGGTTGAGAAGTCCAACAAGGGCATGAAATATTTTCTCTCCAAAACCCCGCTTACCTAAGCCCCAAACCCTCCTGATACCCTCCACCCTGCAACAATAAAAACACACAAAAACTACATATATAAATAAAATATTTTGCTGCTAATGAGAGGCAACCCAGCAGTTTTCTCATCACTCCACTGACAAGTTTATGTGCTCCACAATTGCAGTCGAAATATTTTTGCTATTTTCATGATTTTCTTGGCTTCCTTCCCAAGGAATTAATCATTTCTACAGCACTGGAGAGAAGCTGAGAAATCGCAGACATGACTGAATGACATGATAGTGCATTCTCTTTGCCCACGCCGAATCTCTCTCTGTGCATGAAATTAAATCGTTCCAGGGGAAAATGGATTGCAGTGGTGGGGAGAGTGTGGAAGCACAACTCCTCCGGGGCTTACTTCATAAAAAGGGTTCAGTTACCCAGGTAGCTTGACTTCAGTTCTTCTGAGTTTTCAAAATTCTAAGTGAAGAAACATGAACATATTCAAGGTCCTATGGATATGTCAAAATTAAACTCATAGTATCATTGTGTTGGCAGTAAATAGTTGCTCTGGTAGACCAACTACAGTCATAACTAAGTAGGATGACTCCTTGTGTCAAGTTTTGAATTAGCAAATTTGACCTAGAAGGAACTCTAGAGATTAACTTAGTTTATCTCCTCATTTTGCAACGAAGGAAGCTGTATCCCTGTAGGGCAGGGTCGTAAAGCCCACAGGCTACAGACAGATATATATGTGTCTGAAACCAGGCTCTACCCCTTCCTAACAAATCATGTAACCTCGCTAATGATCCTTTTCCTCTCTGCAAATGTTGGAGTACCTTCTTCACAGGATCATGAAGAGGATTAGATGTACAGTTTAGCACAGAGCTTGGTACATGTTGAAAGACTGAATATACAAATGGATGATGGCCAGACCGTATATAAAACAGAACTGAGTCCCACAAAATGCAGCAACCTTCCCAGAAAACCATTCCCCCATCTACAATAAACAACTCATGGAGCCAGCCAGCTAAAAGTCAGACTTGCAGGAAGCCAGACTACTGTCTCTACTGACAATCCAGGAAGCTAAACAATAACTCTAACAATCTGGCCTAAAATGGCCAGGACGTCATTAAATAACTGACAGCTTCCCTAATTTTGTCTCAGCTTCCAACTTAGGACCAACCAGAGAAAGCCAAATATACATCCTAACCAATCACATAGGATGCCCTAGTCCTAGTTAGCTGCATCCAGCTTCTCCATGGCACAGCCTGCAAGCAAGGCATTCCTAAAGTCTTCCCTTTTGTCCATTATAAAGCCCTCTGCCTGCCTTTGAGTCTCTGCCAAAATGAAAGTGATGGCTTGACTCTCTTACGACAGCAAGCTCAGAATAAATAGCCCTTGCTTCTCCCATTTGTTTAGCATTCACTCATTTCCACAATGCACACACACTTACCTTGCACATACCCTGCATAATCACACACATCCTGTCATTCAGTAAATTAAGGACAGATACAGCCAGTACTGTGATTTTTCAATACACGGATAAAGCCAATAGCAAAGGAAGTAACCAGTGCAATATGATTATGTAAGCCTGTTCTAGCCAATATGAATTCTCAAAAGACTATATGTTTACACAGTGTTTCCTCTTCTTCCAATAACTTACCCAACATGTTCCCTCTTTTGCTATCAACTTTTTGAATGAGTCAGAGACAGAATTGGCGCATCCATAAAAGCACAGCAGGCACAAAGCCAAGGGCCACAATATTTTTAGAGGAATGAAATTAAAACACAAACGTTTTAATTTCTTT
This sequence comes from Homo sapiens, assembly GCF_000001405.40. Taxonomy (NCBI): domain Eukaryota; kingdom Metazoa; phylum Chordata; class Mammalia; order Primates; family Hominidae; genus Homo; species Homo sapiens. The sequence goes on along the minus strand of NC_000005.10, from coordinate 156,394,705 downwards.
TAAAATCGGAAGGAAAAAAGCAGACACTTACGTCAAAGAAAATACTTTATATCACATTAACATATTAGTTTTTATACCAACACAATTGCAAAATATAATTCTTACACATATTTTTGTGGAGGAAGGAGCCCCCAAAAGTGAAAATGTCTAGGAACTTAAGTAGCTAAATTATGGCCCTGATCATAGATGTAATAATTGTCCTTTTTGTGGATAAGTAATGGTCACTATCAACTGTTTAGTACAGGTTACCTCTTACAATCTCTCGTATTGTCTCTTCTCCATCATGTTAATTCCCAAATTGGTTTTCCAGCTATTTTCTGATATATTAATCCTTTTAATTTACCCCTTCTTCAGTTATTGGAGCTATTATGTTCAAAGTACTGAAGAGATCATTACTCAATGTGTAAAAAATAGTTTATAAACTCCATTGGTATTACACAACTGCTTATCACAATCTGATCTTAATTTATAAACTTACGTCATCCACTACTGCCACTTCCCACCACCCCCCAAACAAAGCTTCCCATCCTTGATCCAGACATGACTAAATCATAACTTGCCAAGGTTATCCTCCACCTACTGTGTGCCAATACATTCTGCTCAGTTCCTACTCCACATATTGTATTCTCATGAATTCCTCCCAAGTGTCCAATATGAGACTTACTTGTCTGACTCCCAAAGCACCATTAAATCACAATTGATGTAATTAGTTAGATGCATCTTTGTCTTTTACTGCTTAGAATGTGGCCTTTTTCAGGGAAAGAATCAGGTCTTACCCATCTCTTGTGAGTGTCAACGACCAACATTTGTTAAGTGGCATACCCACAGTACAAAACTCACCAGCAGCAAAGTGGGTACTGGAATCTGAGTCACCTGGCTCCTGGTTCTGGCTCCTCTCAGCTCATTCCACAACATCTGAATAGCCAGTTAAATCTCAGAAGCAGATGGATGCTCTAGATGTCAAACATTGCAGTAAGACAGCACTTTGTTAGTAACTATGTACCAATGGCTCTGGGAGATGGATGATCTTAATTTGTAGTGCTTGCCAATTTCTGTGGTGTAAATACTCTCACTATGGCCAATTTCAACCTATTAACATGACTTCACTCTACATGGAGCAGAGAAGAGATGCACAGGAGCACGCTATCATGTGGTGCGTCCACCGCTACACAGATACAATAAACTAAATCACAGCAAGAGCATCAACAGCCATAAATGTAGGAAGAAATGAGTTTTGAGTATTTATTATCTTTTAATTTATTTAACTGTATGTTTATAAATGATTTAATTTTAATAATAGCTGTTTAACAACTGACTTATTGGTAAAATTCTTGAACATTTAACAATTGGCTCTCATGAGCCAGTGTGAGCTGGCTTCACTGTACCACAAACAGCGTGAAGCTTGTATGAATGTAGTCTATAGGATTCTTGTGAAAATAAATACCCCTAACATTTGAGGTCTTAGATCACCACATAGTAAAGGAACTGCTTAATTACATTTCATTTATTCAAGCATGTCCGTCCTGTCCCTGTCTCTTGGTTTCCCTACTGATAGAGAAGCGAAATGCTGAGAAGAGAAGGGCGTGGTCCCTTTAAATGATATGGAAGCGGGGCAGGGAAGTGCTGGGTAGAGGAGGGCATGATCCCTGGCTAGGGCTCCAACCCTGGGCCTGTGCCCACAGACCTAGGTGAGGATAGGCATTTTTGTTTTTCTGCCCAAATGTTGAATTTCCCCGCCACGCCCCCATCCTGTGCCTATAAAAACCCGAGACCCAAGCAAGCAGGCAGACACACAGGTGGCTGGATGTTGGGAGGAGCACATGGGTGGCTGGATGTCGAGAGGAATGCACTGACAGGCACCAGCATGCTGGCAGGCCACCGACCAGCAGAATGACCCAAAGTTTGGCTGGGGCAGTCAGAGGAGAGCACAGGCCACCAAGGGGCCCGACTCCAAGGGAAAACTATCTGCCTTCTGGCTACCCTACCTGCTGAGAGCTACTCCCACTGAATAAAACCTTGAACTCATTCTCCAAGCCGACACATGATCCAATTCTTCCGGGACACCAAGGCAAGAACCCTGGGATACAGAAAGCCTCTGTCCTTGCAATAAGTCAGAGGTCTAATTGAGCTAACACAAGCTGCCTATGATGGTTAAACTAAAAGAGCACCCTGTAACACATGCCCCCCGGGCCTTCAGCTGTAAACATTCACCCCTAGACACTGCCATGGAGTCAGAGCCCTACAACCTGCCTATCTGTATGCTCCCCTTAGAAGTTTGAATAGTGCACACTGAAGAAGCAAGCCACACCCTCATGGAACGTCCTAAGAGGGGGCAAGGGAACTTTCCCCATTTCACTACTACACAGTTTCCTTTTGCCACATGTATTCAGTGTCTTCTTGTCCCACCAGACTGTAGGCTCTAAGAGGTTGAAGACCCCGTCCATTCTTCACCACTTTATTTCTGATGTCTGGACCTCAAAAAATGCTTGTTGAATGTATGGATGGGGTAGATATGAGTGTCTTGTTGCTATCTATCACTGTTATACTGAGATGATAATGTAATGCTGCAAGATAGCAAATGTCTTAGAGTCTGAAACAGGAGCCATACAAAGGTAAGTATTTTATCAGTGTGACCTAGTATTTCTTGCATTTGAGAAACTCCTAATACATTCAATATACGTAGTGCTAAAAGAACTAAAGTTGCTAACAGGGACATGTTGCAACACCTTTTCAAATGGTTTATACAAAGCTCTAGACATTAACTATGAATTAAAACGTGGCACAACAACTTCTCATGAAATCACAGCAACATTTCCCAAGGCATTAGTTTATTCTCGTCCAAAATTTAAGAACATTTCAACAAAAAAGAAAATATTAGACTTGGATGATATTTTTTGCCCTGCAAAATTTCAAAATATGATAGTACTAGCAAACACATACATGTATATAGAGAGTCATCCCTTAGTATCTGCAGCAGATTGGTTTCAGGACCCCCTGCAGATACCAAAATCCACAGATGCTCAAGTGTCTTATAAAATGGTGTAGTCCTTGTATATAATATACACACATTTTCTTATACACTTTAAATCATATCTAGATTATTTTTAATGCCTAATACAATGCAAATGCTTTGTAAACAGTTATTACACTGTATTGTTTAGGGAATAATGACAAGTAAAAAGTCTGTATGTGTTCAGTACAGATGCAACTATCCTTTTTCTTTTCTTTTTTGTTTTAAATACTTTCTATCTGTGGTTGATTGAATACACAGACGGGAAACCCACAGATACAGAGGGCTGACTGTATATACAGCCATGCGTCATTTCACAATAGGCACGTGTTCTGAGGAATGCATCATTAGGCAATTTCATCGTTGTGCTAACATAGCGTGTACTTACACAAACCTAGATAGTAGAGCGTGCTACACACCCAGGCTGTATGATATAGCTTATTGCTCATAGGCTATAAATGTGTATAGCACGTTACTGTACTTAATACAGTAGGCAACTGTGATGCAATGGGAAGTTTTTGTGTATCTAAACAGAAAACATACAGTAAAAATATGGTACAAAAGATTTAAAATACAAAGTTTCACCTGTATAGGGCACTTTCTTGAATGGAGCTTGCGGGACTGGAAGTTTCTCTCCCTGGGTAAGTCAGCGAGTGAGTGGTGAGTGAATGTGAGAGCCTAGGATATTGCTGAACACTACTGTAGACTTTATAAAAACGGTACACTTAGGCTACACTAAATTTATTTTAAAATTTTATCCTCAATAATATATTAATCTTAGCTTACTGTAACTTTTACTTTATAAACTTTTATTTTTGTAAGCATTTTGACTCTTTTGTAATAAAACTTGGCTTAAGCACAAATGCATCATACAGCTGTACACAAATATTTTCTTTCTTTATACCCTTATTCTATAAGTTTTATTAAAAAATTTTTTTCATATGCATTAAACTTTTTTTTTCCCTGAGATAGAGTTTCACTCTTGTTGCCCAGGCTGGAGTGCAATGGCAAAATCTTGACTCACTGAAACCTCTGCCTCCCGGGTTCAAGTGATTCTCCTGCCTCAGCTTCTTAAGTAGCTGAGATTACAGGTACATGCCACCACACCCGGCTGATCTTTTGTATTTAGTAGATATGGGGTTTCACCATGTTGGTCAGGCTGGTCTCGAACTCCTGACCTCAGGTGATCCACCCGCCGCCATGGCCTCCCAAAGTGCTGGGAATACAGGCGTGAGCCATTGTGCCTGGCCCACTTTAAACTTTTTGATAAAAACAAAGATACAGACACACACATTAGCCTAGGGCTACACAGGGTCAGGATCACCAACAACGCTGTCTTCCACCTCCACATCTTGTCCCACTGGAAGATCTTCAGGAGCAATAATGTGTACGAAGTTGTCATCTCCTATGATGACAATGTCTTGTTCTGAAATACCTCTAAAGGACCTGCCTGAGGCTGTTTAAATGTAACTTTTTTTTTTAATAAACAGAAGGCATAGACTCTAAAATAATAAAAAGTATAGTAATTACATAAACCATAACATAGCCATTTCTTATCATTATCATGTATTATGTACCATACATAATTGTATGTGCTATACTTTTATACAACTGGCAGCTTGGTAGGTTTGTTTATACCAGCATCACTGCAAACACATGAGTAACATGTTTCAATACCATAAGACGACGACTATGACATCACCAGGCTATAGAAATTTTTCAGCTCCATCAATAATCTTATCGAACCCCCATTATCAATATGTGGCATAAGGCTCTGTGTGTGTGTGTGTGTAACATAATATATACCAGCCACTATTATTTAGTCATACAACAAGCTTCTAATGTATGAACTGTTATCATGAAGAAACTGAGGCACAGAAATTTAATCACTTGCTCAAGGTCACATGAAATCTGGATTCAGACTCTTTGTTCTTAATCGTTACACTATACATCAGGGGTCTCCAATCCTGGTACACAAACCTGTATCAGCCTGTGGCCCGTTAGGAATGAGGCCACACAGCAAGAGGTGAGCAGGGGGCAAGTGAGCTTTACTGCCTGAGCTCTGCCTCCTGTCAGATCAGTGGGACAGTTTCATTCTGAAACCCTCTAGCACCACCCCCAGCCTCCCCTGCCTCCTGCCCTGGCCATGGAAAAACTGTCTTCCATGAAACCGATCCCTGGTGCCAAAAAGGCTGGGGACTGTGGCTGACAAAGCAAACAATACTATAACTCCCAGATGTCTTTGGACTTGTATCCTTCTGGAGATAGTCCCAGTTCTTCAAAAGTAGGAGTTTTAATCTTCTTACCAAGTGTCTGGGGTAGGCATCCAGTCTCTGTATGAGGAGGGAAACCCTAGTTTGGGGATATATGAATGGCTTCCCTAACCAGTGAGACAAAGACCAGGAATTTCTCCAGCTTCCCACCTTTGGGCAAGCCCTCCATGGCACAATTTCAAATAGGGATATATCTTGCAGAAATATACAATTGTTAAGGTTCTGGTTGCCCCCAGCTTTTGTAGCCAACAGAAGTCCCAGGGGAATAAAATGCAGAGGTTTATCATTGAAAGGCTTGGAGAGGGGAAGCTTCAAAAACCTGTGCCTATTCAAATATTTGAGCATGTATACATTTGTGGGAGTGTGATGGGAGGCAATGTATAAGTCCTGTGTCAGCCTTACTCTAGATAAGAATTGTATTGTACCTTCCCCTTGTCTTACACTCATTACAGAATCAAATAAACATTTCCAGTATGTACATGTAATGAGATCCTAGTAGATTGTACAAATAACCTTGATTTTACAAGGCTGGCATTGAGATCTTCTGGTCTCGATATTCTATATTTCAAAATAGTATCTGTATTATGTTTAAAGGCTTAGGGAAATATTTAAAATACTAATGGATTGCTATTATTCCTCTTCAGTTGCTAAAAGTTATAGAACAAAAATATTGGAAGTTTAGAAAAAGTGGGAGGAAATTTTAGAAGTTACATTTATTTTGTCAAGAAGAATCACAACATTGCTGAAAAAGTTGGAAGAACTGGTCTAATTAACTCATTCAAGATCCTAGCTGTATTTTAATGTAGCCCATGCATAGACTCTGGCACTTTGGGGTCTTCAGACTGCCAAATCCAAAATCAGTTTCTAGGAGAAACAGCAATCAGTCATTAAATGATTTCTGATTCCATTGTGCTTTAAATTAAATGATACCTTCAGGCCCTTGCAAATGAAATAACAACTGATTGGGCACATCTGATAGTCGTTTGATTACTGCCCATATCAGAACACTAGATATGCCAAAGATTGCCATTTGCTTGGCATCTGGTCGTTGAATGACTCTGCCTTCTGTGTTTAATCCATCTATTGTCTTTCTGCTAATGAACCAGGGTCTATGGCACAAACAGAAGTGTTCAAGGAAACTATCATAGGGAGGCTTTTTTAAGAAAAAAAATACAGTTCTTCCACTCACTTCTTGAATTTCTCAATAGCTGCCTTGCCCGGCTATCACACATTTGTTTTTGATAACTCAGAATCACAGGTTGGTGGTGGTGTCAACAAAAAATAGACTCACTCCAAAATTTAAATATGACCTCTTTGTAACCTCAGAATGTGAAATCCAACTTACACAGCTCTTAAAGCAAGGCAATCCATCAATATCAACTGAGCCTGAAAAGATAATTTAGCACAGCTTCATACCTATTGAGTCTTACTTAGAATCTCTCTCCCTCTCTGAGATGAAGAGTTGAAATAGAAAGGGAAGAACACAAGAATTGGAGTTAAAGAAACCTTTGCTTTTGTAGGTATCAAAACAAATAAGGTCAGTTTTAGGCTATAATACGAACGTGGCCATAGGGAAACTAATGTCCTGCACCGTCTTGTATATTTTATTTTGTGTCAAAGGCAATACTCATTTCTTCTTCAACATGCACATTCCCCTAAATAAGGATATTTTTCTTGAAGTTGTTTTTGGGCCCTCTTTTCTTATTGAAAATGCATTTTCTTCCCAACATCTCAGAAAGTTATTTAGAGACCATACTCTCTGCCAAACAATAATTCTGCTTTTATAAAGCCATGTCATGCTTCAACATCTAATTCTTCATCTGCTAAGACAGAGTTAGCAAAGAATATTTTGCCTTCAGCTGGGCCCTGTTAGTCCCTTGACTCAGCTTATAGGTGCAATACATCATGCTTGGAGGCTCTCTGGTATTATATAACCTCCCATGCATAACTTGAATTAGCAAGGAAATGACATATTTGTATAGCAATTAAATATATGTTTAGCATTCCCTGAGGCACCCCCCTCCCAATTATTTAAGCTAAAAGCACATTAATCATTTGCCAGGGTGTAGCATGATAGAGACAACAGTCGTTTCTGAATCCGGTGTTCAATACTGCACCCAGAAACAGAATCTGAATTTCTACAATCTTGAAATGTCACCACACATTGATTACACTTACACTTAAACATAGCATGCTCTTTCAAACAACACCACTTGGAGCTGTCGCATACTCAAATGCATGAGGCTCATGTGCTTCTGTGTTACCCACTTCACAATAAAACCATTTATTACTAAGCATGAATGAGAGGGAAATGGGAGGCAAACTCATTCCCCAAGGCCTTCTTGATTTGGAAGTGTATGCTTGATGGTTCTCCAGTGCAGTACGATTTCAGAATCCATTAGGCATTCTGAAATGTTCATTCCTGACTGTTCATAAATAGTATTATTTTTAAAGTACACTTTTAACTGGTGTGTACTCTCCCCACAAAAAAGTAACAAAACAAGAAACAACAATGAATAAACATACCTTAAGTTGGCTGACCAGTTTGAAATACTTCTTGGGAATGTTAAAAACTTTCTGGACTACTGGGATGAGCTTGAGATGGTTTGGGCTGATTTCAATGTAATGACATCCAAACAAACAAACAAAAAAGCCAACACTTGTGCCCCATCCCTCCAACACTTGGAGTGCTCCGAAGCTCTAAAGAGTGAGGGAGCCCCAAGGGGATCACCATCAGGAAAATACCACCTACATCTGTATGAGGCTTTGTACTTCTGAAAATATTTCCACATCCTTCATTTCATTAAGATATATGGCGGCATCGCAAGGGACTATTAGCACCCTTACTTTACAGTTGAGAAACTGAATTTCCTGAATTACAGCTGACTTTTTAAACAACACGCATTTTAAAAGTTGCAAACTCAGATATTTATGCTTAAGTCCAGTGATTCATCCATTCAATGTGATAATGCAGACGATGATTATAACCCTTGGCCACATGTATTGTATTTGCACTTTGTGCTATGTTAATATTTGTATTAAAATTTTAAATATATTGTTAATCCTCATCACCTACTTTAATGGATGTTAAAATTTAGATTTAGAGAGACCAGGGGACATTCTCAGAGTCACACAGAAGATAGTCACAGACAAACTGGCTACAGAGTCCACCCTCTTTACCTTGTCACACCCTACCCTACACACTATAGGGTCCTCAGATCACACTGCTGACCACACAATCTGATTCAGCACAGGGACTTCAGTGCTTCAAAAACACTTGTGAATGTGTAAACTAAGGAAAGCTCAATAACTATACTATCACTAAAACAGATTGGAAGGCATTCTGACCATATTTACACCTAACAAAATAAGAAACACTGTAGTCATCATTACCTGATAGGAGATCTGGATTTGAGGATTCAGAGTTCACTCTCTGACTTTAACTGTATGCTTAGGGGCAAAATGTTTACTTTTCCTACATCTCCACCTGGCCTCATTCAACACCAGAGGCAGTAATGAAAAAGACCTGTGAGGGTAGTTTGGGCAACTGTAGGAGATAATACATGTAAATATCACTTAGCACAGTGCAGGCCACTGCTCAAAAAATGGGAATGTCGGTAATATTTAACAATGCATCTAAATCCATCACTCTGAGCACGTAAAGCTCTGGTTCTTTGTGGTGTTCCCTCAATCTGGAAGATTCTGTCTGCCTTCCCTCCCACTTTAGAATCATCAGTCGAAGTCCTTTTCTTCTTTGCAGGCCCAGATAAGCTCTTACCTCCTCCAGAGAGAGTTCCCAGATGGCCTAAGTTGGACCCCTTCTCTAACTCTAATATCCTCAACATGTTTTCTGTATCACTTGTCCAAACCTTTGTCCAAATATATTGTGAAAATAAAATACCAGTGAGGATTGTTGAATTTAAACAAATCTTCTCCTGATGGTTTTATCTTTAACTTCAAAATGTACCACCTTTGTGAAGAACTATGTTGCTTCCCCCACCCTGTTTCTTATTTAACTTCTTACTTGCAATCATACTTAAAAAGCATAAAAAATATGTGCAGGGAACCCTGTTTCAAAGCCTCCCACTGACCAACCAGCTACCACAGTGCCCTGGTGCCTGTTGCCTACAGAGAAATCTAGACTTTAAATTTAGGGGGTGGCCCAGTTACCCTCATTTTACAGAAAGAGAAAATGAAGCTAGAAAAGAAAGGTGGTTTGTGAAAGGCATAGGACTGGTTACTAGTCAAGGTGGAATTAGAGCTCAGGTCTCTGAATTCCTGGGTTATTGCTCTTTCCACTGCACTTCACTCCATCTAAATGCAGACTCTGGATTACCTACACTTTTGAGTGGTCTCTTGATGATTTTAATGGTGTGCATTTCTGGCTGGATTCCTGCACCACCCACCCATGCCTCAGAAGACATTCTGCCCACCCAGCATTGGTGTGCTTTCGCAACCTGCCATCTCTCCTGCCTGAGTCCATCCTTGAGTCCTCCTCCTAGGTCATATGAGAACTGCAGGTTCACCTTGGAATAACTGGCTTTCAATAACTAACAAGCCCCAGGCTCCTTCTTTAAGACACCCAAGGCCTGGAGTGACAACCAAAGTTTGCACATAAACAAAAGGCACAATTTGTCTTCATAGTGTTGCATTAGAGAACATTACCCTAGAGTCTAGAATTCTTAAAATCTCTTAGAAACTACCCCAAATCACATCTGATACCATTGACAATAATAGTGGATGGGGGAAAAAAATGCACATCTTTTTGAGATGTTTTTTAATTGCATCTCTCTGTAGATAAAACTCAAGAGTTAATTCTCTCTTGGCACTTAACTTTTTAATTTGTGCATTTATTCGATTATTCAACACACATATGGTGTTCTATCGTCACTGTCCAGCACAGTGTCTGGCACACAAGCTCAATCAACTAGATAGATAAGGTTCTTATTCTCTTGGAATTCCTATCCTAGTGAAAGAGAGCCAAGTCACCAAGAAATCACATTACAGAACAAGAAAGGCTTTGATAGGAAACATTCACAATCATTCAGAAGCATACAGGAGGGACATCTCACATAGATTTAGGCAATCAAAGAAGGAAAGAAGGCTTCCTGGAAGAAGGGATTTATATTAAGAGCTAGTGAAAGAACTGGAGCTAAGAAAGAGTAAAGTAGACTAACGAAGTAGGAAGACAGAACCACATACTCAAAGATTTGGAAGTAAGAAAGAACATGGTCCATTCCAGCAATGCGAAGTATCCAGTCCTCATCCCTCTTCTTGTCTCTTTCTGGCATTGAATGTGCTACACATATTTAACTTGTGTGGATTCAACAGCATATCCTTGCTGCAAATAACTCAACCTCGGCAACTAAACATGTACACACCGAAATACATATAAATATACATGAACACAATTTAAACAGCCTGGACCCTAGGATGAGCATGAGAGAAGACTTGACATTCAGTCAAGCTCAGTCCCCCATATCTTTATCACAGAGTCTCTTGCCATATTCAAATGATTCTGGCATTTCATTATATACATATATTCTGATGACTGCCCCTAAAAACAAGCAAATTACTACATCTGGCATCTGGTGACTCATCAAAGAAGATACGATCTGTTCCAATACTAGAGGAATGAAGCAGCTGTTTCAGACTTCTGCAGTGATGACATGTAAGTTTCTAATGTGAAGAGATAGCCAAGGGCCATTTTGAGCCCATGTATGTTCTCCATTATGGGCACTGGATAGACTTCACTTTAGTTTCCAGTCAAATTCCCTTTTATAAGCAAGAAAACAAGGCTGCTAAGAGAAACAGTGACTCACCCAGGCTCCACAGTGACCAGAAGCAGAGCAGCCCCAGGACTCCTATATTCCTAGTAAATGTCCTATTTTTTTTTCTTTCTTTCTTTTTCTTTTTTAAGAGATGGAGCCTCACCCTGTCACCCAGGCTGGAATGCAGTGGCGCGATCTTGGCCCACTGTAACCTCCGCCTACTGGGTTCGAGTGATTCTCCTGTCTCAGCCTCTGGAGTAGCTGGGACTAACATGCACATGCTGCACGCCCGGGTAATTTTTGTATTTTTAGTAGAGACAGGGTTTCACCATGTTGGCCAGGCTGGTCTCGATCTCCTGACCTCAAGTGATCTGCCTGCCTCGGCCTCCCAAAGTGCTGGGATTACAGGTGTGAACTACCACACCCGGCCAATACCTCTATTTCTAAGCATCAAACTTTCCATGTTGATAAGCCCCAGTGATGAGCATAGAATGTACCACACAGCACATGGCCCAGGTTTCATTACAGTATTATGGTTAAACTTCCAGGTTCCATGTCTTTGTTTTTGCTATAATATCAGTCCTTTGAACCAGGTGGCATTCATGAATGCCTATCTACTCTTTAACAGCTTCTTATAAAATTGCCTGATGGTCATGTTACACACTGGAAACAGCTTGTTTGTTGCTAAGGATGCAAACAATTATGCTAAATAGTTATTTGCCATGAATGGAGTACCTTAGTTTTAGTCACCAGAATGCCCTTATTAAAATCTAATAAGGAAAAACCTGGAATGCCCAGTTTAAAATCTAATAACTGTTTTTTTCTGAAATTGTACTATAAGCTTTGAAAGTACATAAAGTCTCTTATGTAAATCACCAATTCTAGACATCTCAAATGAGACAAATTCACTTTGTTTACACATTTTGGTGAAGAGTTTAGAAAGCTGACAAACTATATCCCAGCACCGATATATCCTCTACTAGATTTAGAGAATATTATATCCCTACTATTATTATTATAACATGTCACACACGTGTCCCTGATTTTTATTACTTTTTATTTTAAACCCCTCATCATAGCTCTTGAAAACCATAATTTTTAAGTTTAGGTTTTGAATAACTATCGGAATTTGTATTAAAATGAAATAGAAACATTTAGTAAATTTAGCCTCGATTTACAAGTACATCAAGACACCAAAGAGTGTTCTCCATTACTCCATTAAAGCAGTCCTCAGCATTTTCTGGGCGCTTATGCTTGTATATATCCTGATAGGCTTTTTGCTTTTATTCCTTATGGACAGTAACATGAGTGAGCTTCTACAGGTCTTTGAAGTCTGCAAAGCAATTTCACATATTCTCGCTGGCTTCTTTCAGCAGGGGAGTGTTTAGGGCAGAGAAGGACATGATGATGTGCCAGGTGACCATCTAAGAGGCATTGATTAAATATGTGGAGAGGGACCTATGAGCACTGTGTGGCCTGAGAGTATGGGTTTTGGAATGAGTTTCCAAAACCTGGGTTTGATTCCTGCTTCCACTGTTATTACTTATGGAATTTAACATTCCTGGGCCTTTGGTTGAGCAGCCATAAAATAAGGATAAAACCATACATACTTCAACAACTTGTGGGAATTAAAGATGATAATGTAAAAATTATGTTTATGATAATAATAAAAACATACATTGACCACTTACTATGTGTTAAGTGATTTACACAGATTATATCATTCAATCTAACACCCATAGGAGGAATATACTATTATTATCCCATTTTTATGGATGAGAAAACTAAGGCAAGGAGGGTTTCAGTAACTTACTCAAGTTCACAGAGGCTTAAATGTTGGAGCTGAACCCCAGCTTTGAGCGGACTGTCCCTAGAGCTTCCAATCATACTACTGCCTTATACTCCCTTTCTGCTGTGTACCAAACCCTTTAAAGATCACTTTCAGCTTTAAAATGCTATGCTTTTATGACTTCTATATTAAAGTGTACCTTTTAACACAGACACTGATGGCTCAACTATATGTGTCATATAGAAATATAAAATGCATAATGATTAATTTTATAAATATGCACATGTATGTTTACATGAGGACATTTACCTAGTAGAACAAAGTACTACATTTATATTGGAATATAATGCTTATGGATGAATGATAACAAAAAGCTTCTGCCATGCCCCTGTGCCCAGCTCCCCAAACTACCATCCCCAGGGTAGAGCTCGAGATTCGTATTCTGTATAAAAGACCAATTTGATTTTCCTTGCCAAGAATGAAAAATGGTATTCCAACTTGATTAGGATTCGCAGAGGACACCCATTCTCTGCATCAGCAGCCTTACGTTTCCTTTTATCTGTGAGTTGTTTTCTTTTTCCAGAATGAACACATAATGATAAGGAGTGCTCAAGCAAGCTTGCTTTGCAGCAGCCCCATTTTCTCACTTCATAACCCTCATTCCTTTTATTTAAAGAGCCTCAGAACTGCTAGAATGCAGCAGGCAATTCACAAGCCTGATTACCTTGGCCTCCACCCTGGCTTCCTTTGATACCTCCAACTCATTTCTTCCTGAGATGTTTTTGTCTTTGATTTCTCAATTGCCATTATTTTCAGCTGATGTCATGGGAGAGGAATGAGAGAGACTTCTTGGAGAATTTCATCATTTACTCTCAATTTATTCTGTTTCCTAAGTTACTGAAACGGTGTCTCAAACTCTGATGCTACCACCATGCACACAATGCCTGGAAAAGCATACATCTTCTACTCGACTTACGAGAGAAAAAGATGTATCATCACATCCCATGCCTTGGCTTTGCCTATAATTCAAATTAAAATGCAAACCACAGCCTGCCTATATACATCTCTGGGCTCTGCACTACACACTTGATATCAATTCTCTTGCTTCACACAAAAAAATCTTGAGAGATTAGTACCACTATCCCCATTTTACAGATGAGCAAACCAAACTTCAGAGTTTACAGACATATTTAATATCACATGGCTAGGAAGTTGCTGAAATGGTGTCTAACCTACATCAGTCTTAACCTCCAAGCCACGTTCTAAATATCTGCCACTCAGGCATCACTACTTCTAAACACAAGTGAAACCACCTGCTAGCCTTGTAAGTCACAATGCCTCATGCAAGTCATTTGCTAAGATTTTCTTTGAATGAGTGAATGAGAGAATGAATACGTGCTTGAAAACTGTGCTTGCTCCTCCAGCTTTTGTAAATTCTGCCTAGTCAACCCCTTCTGTTGTAGGAGGAAGGTTGTATTTACATTTTTCAAATAAGCAAAAGATATACAAAACACAAACTATGTATTCATCAAGTGAGGGTTCTCTGAGATTTGGTTAAGTAGTATAGCATTTCAACGTCTCCTTTGGCTTTGGTAAGGTGTGCAGTACATTAACTTGTTTCTTTGTTACTGCAGCAATTCTCTGAGACCCAGAGGGAACACAGATGAGCTTAAAAGAGCCTGGAAAAATAATCTAAATCAGATGTTTGCAATGATCATTTCAACCAAGAACAGAAAATTAAAGGGTAGGGTTCAAGACTCAACCACCAAGAACTCTAGGAAACACCCAAGACCACAAACGCTGTGCCTTGAATGGGCTCTAGACCTGGGGGAGCCCACACTTTGGAATTCTTTGTTCTTATTCGAACACAGGAAAATAATGCTAAACAACAGATACACTCAGCATAAAACAAATCCAAAGAGTGGGCTATTTCTCATTTGCAGTCAAATTTTTTGCTTTTTCTTTTTTCCTAAGAGAGTTTTCTGAACAATTCTGAAGGAATCTTCAAAGTCAAAAGACTGGTGTTATCCTGGATTTCTCCTTTTCTCACAATCAACATTCTATCCAGCAGAAAATTCTACTAACTCTCCTTTAAAAATACTACCCTCTCTACTTCACCGTCACTTTGGTCCAAGCCACTCTGTGAGCCTGGATTATTGTAATAGTGTTCTACCTCATCCCCTTCCTTCTCCCCTCTCCCCTTCTGCTGTGTATTCTCATTACAGCAGCCAGACAGATGCTTTAAATAAAAACTATAATCACTGCTTTTCTGATTAGGAAGTGGCTTCCTCTGTCACTAAAAATTAAAGTTCCAAACTTGTTCTGATTTACAGACACTCCATGATCTAGTCCCTACTACTCTATCCTGTCATCATAGTGCTTCAGCCACACAGAAGGACACTTCTTTCTGTTTCTTGAACACACCATCCATATGGCGTGTTCCTCAGGAATTTGCACATGCTGCTCCCTCTGATCCTCTCTGCCCAGACATGTGCATGCATAACTCCTCTACTTATTGCAGATATTTACTCAGTATCCTATGTGAGGCTTTTCTTGGACTATCTAAACTTTCAACTCTAATCCTCCAATGACATTTTCTAACCTCCATCTATGACTTATTTTTCCTCCTTAGCAATTATCACTGTCTGAAATATAGGTATTTTCCTTTTTATCTTGTTTAATGTCAGATTCCACATTAGAATGCAAGCTTTATGGCAGATATTTTTTATTTTTATTTTGCATCTTTGGAACCTAGAATAATTGGCATCTGATAGGTACTTTCAATAATTGTTAAAAGAATAAATGAATAAAGTGAATTATGAATAGGTTTGTGAGTACATAAGTAGATGAAATGGAAGTAGATGCAAACATTTAGCACATGGTAGACATTCAATGACTGAATGGATTAAAAAGTGATTCATCATAAAAGGCAGTATCTGGGATGGTGATTTTATACTTTAGAATTATCTATATTTTATCATATGCAATATACATTTTTAAAATTATTTTTAACCTATACAGAACTCTATACATTTTGTCCACATACTAACTCTTATTTTATTCACTGTTGGTAAGCTGAATAGAATTATATTGCCTTTTACATGTGACAAGAGAAAATAAACTAATAGCTCACCACCAGTGACAAAAATTGAAAAAAATTCTAAAAGGACTGATTATTTTGTTTAGGTTGAGTGATGGGAAAATGGTAGGAAAAGTCTTTTTTGAAAACAAAAGTTGGCTTATATCAGAAAGTAAACATACTGGGAGCTTATTGATGGTCATGAGATTGCAGGGGTCTGTATAGGTGGGGGGAATTATAAAATGCTAGACACAACACGGAAAACATTTATTAAACTGTGGTAAAATACACAACATAAAACTAACCATCTTAACCTTTTAAAGTGTGTAGTTCAATAGTATTAAGAACATTCACACTGCTGTGAAAGCATCCCCATCTATTTTCAGAACCTTTATCCTGCAAAACTGAAACTCTGTATCATTAAGCAATAACTCTCCAGTCCCCTCACCCCTTGGCAACCATCTTTCTACTTTCCTTCTCTAGCAATGTGACTGCTTTAACTATCTCACACACGGGGAATCATACAGCATTTGAGTTTTGTAAATGACTGATTTCACTTAGCATAAAATATTCAAGTTTTGTCCATGTTGCAAAACAGGTCAGAATTTACTTTTTAAGGCTGAATAACATGTCATTGTATGTCTATACCACATTTTATTTATCCATTCATCTGTCAATGGATGCTTGGGTTGCTCTACCTTCTGTCTAGTGAGAATAATGCTACGATGAACACTAGTGAACAAATATCTGCCTCAATCCCCGATTTCACTTCTTTGGGATCTATACCCAGAAGTGAAATTGCTAAATCATAGGAGAAATAAAAATATTTGTGTGGAAGTTAATAAGCATGATTGTTGTTTCAAACCACTATGTTAAATAGCAATGGATAACAAACACAATCCATAGACCTTGAGTTTTTCTCATACCAGAGATTTCATATTCATGAGATCAATGTGCAATTAATGGAAAATGCAACACCAGAAACAACATAATTAACTCTATCCATTTTACTTAAAAAATGGTATAGCCAAGAATGGGGGTACCTAATGGACATTATTGGTAGTAAAGAGTGTGTGTTTTAGCCTACATTTTACTGATCTTGAATGCTGGAACCCACCAGTACACACCATTCCCATCTCTAAGTGCACTGCTGGCTTTATTTTCAGTGAGGACATCCATTCATGTACTCCATTGTCTACTGAAAGCCTGTCGTGCACTAGGCTCTCTGAATTCAGCAGTGACCAAGACAGAAACAATTCTTGCTTTCATGGAGCTTAACATTATTTAGAGAATAAAGGCATATATTACATAAATTATAACAAATCATTACTTTTTTGGCTGTGATATTTGCTCTAATAAGAAAACATAGTGTGTTGTGAGAATACTGAATAGGCTAGCCTGCAGGATAGAAGCAGTGAGAATCAACATAAATTTTATAATGCGATGGGAGTTGGGCATCCATTAACATATCAAATTTATTTTGCAGTGTAAACAACCAATATTAAGCATCATTAAATTACTCCCTCCAAATTTAAAACCACATTCTAGAAGATTCAGCTTAATGCTGGCAATATTAAGATGCTTATCAGATGAATTAATTAGACTAATTAGCTTAAAGTTTAATTAAATAGTAAGTATTAAGTTCATTATCCTCATAACACTGATTTATTTTTTAAAATAGAGGTTTGGGATTTTACATGACTTTTTTTTCTCTGTAATGTTTTATTTTCATTTTAGTGGTTTCAAGATATTTATATCTTATGAAAAACTGTTGAAGAGGCATGCTTTATATTTTTAGTCATTTTTTTTATTGATGATTAATTTTGGCTCTCATCTGTTACTTAGCCATGGTACTCAAAGTGAAACCCCAGAATCAACAGACACAAACTTCCTGTTTTCACCACTGTCAACAAATGGAAATTATATCTTTTAAAAATTCTATTTGTATTAAATTATTTTAATAGAGAGCACCTTGGGCCACTTTTGTTAATTCCCTGGTAAATTTGGAGACTATGGCAAGTTCAATAAACTTCCTCTCCTAAAAGTATAATTTTCTCCTAAAAAGTATAATTAAGGCTAAAATACTTTTGAAAAACACAAAGATACTTGATTAGTAACCAATAAAAAAAAATCTGATGCACATAAACCATTTTATTCTACTCTGATCACCTAAAAGTCAGATTCAGCTGCTCCATTTGTAAATGGGTATATTTATCTTGCCTTCCCAATCTCATTAGGGTCAATGTGAGATAACATATGATTAACAAAATATCAAAGTTAAACTTGTAAATTACATATGCATGATTATAGACTTCTGGAGATTAGTTCATCAAAAATTTATGTTCACCTTTCATATTTTGAAGCTGCTACTTAAAGCAGTTACCCAACCAGGGTTAGCACTTCCTAGCCCCTCTTCCATCAGTCATGACGTTGTGGGTGAAATCTTGTCAACAGATGTACATGTAAATGACACTGGCTAGTCCCATACAAATTTCCCCTACAATTCTTTGTGTTCTCTCACTCTATGTTTGCTGTGTGGATGTTAACACCCAAGATGATATGGGGAGCCATTGCAATAAAAATGGCAAAACCTCCTTTAGACTGGGTTCTTGAGTAACTGAGCAGAGCTTTCATCCCAGGCAGCCACTGTTTCCAGGTGAGTGAGCAACAAACTATTTTGTTAAACTGCTGACATAGATTTGCCTGTTACAGAATCTAGTGTTTGCCTCACACGGTTAAGCACTGATATGAAGTCACTGATCTTCTATCTATAACTGTACATATACGATAAATCAATAATGTAGATCTTACATTTTTGTCATAAAATGTCAGTCATTTTCAATGTTTTAAAAGGTTGACTAGCTCACAATTTTAATAAAAATAAATAAAAGAGAAAATTTTAAAGCAAAATAAATACTGTAAAAATATAGCAGAGTTTCCAAAATAAACTCTGTATAGGTAGATGAGGGCTTCAGTAGGATGCGCTATAGTCAATTAACTTAGAGAATTTGAGTTAAAAAATAATACAGTCTCCTTATGGCATAAATACATAAACGTTCAGATGCTTTTATAAGCCAATGCACTCTTGTACATCTTCAAGGAGTGAATGCAGTGAGCATGGGGAAAGAATTGTTTAAGCTTTTCCTCAGCTTTGAACAAAACATCTTTATTTTCCACGGCATTTCTTGAAACAATCATTTAATGGGGCACACTTTGGAAATGATCACACAGCACAGCTATAGTCTGGAGATTAATATTACACATGGGTGACCATCCTTCTCACTCTCACATTTTCCCACTGTCTTTATAAGGAGCCAGACCACAAGACCATAGGTAGCACCATTAATGCTTCAACAAGTACTCTTTAAAAAAAAAAAAAAAAAAAAAAGCTGTGAAGGATATTACTGGGGCAACTGACAAAATCTGAAAATGGACTGTGGATCAGATAATAGAATTACAGCAATTTTAAGTGTCCTGAGATTTTATTATTGTACTATGCTTATGTAAGAGAACATTACTGTTCTTAGGAAATACACATTGAAGTATTTAAAAGCAAATTACCTTCAGATCGTTTTTTAAAAAGCACATATGGGGAAGCAGACGGAAAAAATCGGAAGGAGAGGGAAAGAGAGAGGTTGACAGAGAGAAGGAAAGGGAAGGAGTGGGGAGAATAAGCAAATGAAGTGAAATGTAAATAACTGGTGAATCTTGGAAAAGGATCTTCAAAAGTTTCTTTTACTACTCTTGCAATTTTTTGGTAAATCTGAAATTTTACACACACACGCAAAACAAAAAAGACTGTGAAGAGTGATGTTCTATAGTAAGTAGGTTTGATATTCATTTTGCTTGTGTTTCATTTCGAACATGTCACAAATGTTTATTTAAAATTGCTATTCTCAGAGCTGAATGACACTAGCGAGACTGCGAGCTTTGACTCAGGCTGCCTCACACCACGGCTGGAGTGTTGGTATGCTGTCAGCATGTCAGGGGCAAAAAGACAGTGTTGCTTTGGGAGAATGGCGTGAACCTGGGAGGCGGAGCTTGCAGTGAGCCAAGATCGCACCACTGCACTCCAGCCTGGGCAACAGAGCAAGACTCCGTCTCAAAAAAAAAAAAAAAAAGACAGGGTTGCTTTGTATTGTTTATTCATGCAGGAAGCTTCTGCTCCAAGAAACAATTGAGACTTTTTCTTTCAAATTTGCTTTGTTTTTTAGCAAAAATCAATCAATTTTTTTTCTTCCATCAACGAATAGGTTGAGTGCTGAAAAATAAAATGCCCAATTTGCTAGGTTTCTGTTGCTCTTGGAGAAGAGCAACTGAAAACTCAATAGCTGATGACCAAGAAAACTATTAATGTTTTGCTCCCATGTGAAGCTGACTGGCAGTAATGACTCCACAGATTACTTTTGCGTTATGCTATAGTTGGTCACGTGTTACTTTCTCCACAGCTTGGAAGATCTAAAAACCCTAGTTATTGTGATCAAGCCAGGCATGAGTGAGCTTGTTTCACAGGTATTTTCTGTGGCACAGGTTTTGGGTAAGAAAAGTCCTTAAATCAAAAATATATTTTAGGCTAGAGAGTGAAATGAGCAATTTTAACACTAAGGATATTGCCATGCATTTTTTTTTTTTTTGTATTTTGAACATTTTCTTAGCTCTGAAGTTTCCCTCTCTGTAGCATTATTAATCTCTCTCCAAACTGCACCATTTTTATCCGAGTTACTGCTTATCACGAAAAAATAAAATAAAATGTCCGTTGACTCCACTCCCGCCCCTTCAACTGCTGTTTCATTTCTCTACTCTTCTTCTCAGCAAAGTAACATGAAAGAGGCATCTAAGGTCTTTGTTTCTATTTCGTCACCCACACAGCACAGTCTGGTTGGTCTTTCCATATCAAGCCCTCCATGCTGACCACTGGGTGATGTGGATCCAAACATAATACAAACCCAAACAAAATTATCCATGCCACTATGTCACACCCTCTTGGCCTGAGCTAGCAACAGCCCTTGGTCTGTGCCTCATTTTACTGTTTAAATGGCTTCAAAATATCTTAAGTTAGGTGGTAGTATTCTAATTACAATTGCTATCCGTTCATTTTCTCTTAGCACTGAAATTCTGTGAATTTTAAACATTATTATTAAAGTCAGAGTCATGGAGATTTCTGGAAATGTAAGGCAGTTTGGCTCACAGTGGCATTCTCTAAAATTAGGCCTAATTTCTTCTGGGTAATAAATGCTTTCACAGAGAAGGAAAGAATCCTGGTGAATTTCCAAAGTAAAATGTGTAATAGACTGTTGTTAAATTAATTCTTAAATGTAGCGATTTTTCCAAATATAGGTTAGCCTTGGGCGGTCTCATTGCATTACTTACTTTTAAGTGATTAAAGGTAACGCTTACCAAATCAATAGGAGATACCAAAGAGGGAACATTAAAACTAAAATTAGCATTGACTGAAGACATATACAAAAATATGAGATCCTGTTTTTCTTGAAAAGTCCAGCAAAATTATTGGAGAGTACAGAAAAAGAAGAAGTCGAAAATGTAATTGGATTGGTAAGTGTTCCCCCTTACAGATATCTTTTTAGAGAAAATTACACTCTTCTGTAAATTATCTAAAAGACATGAATGCTAACACGAGCACAAATGAAACCTACTCTAATGTCTGGACAGCTAAATTATGAGCAACTCTTAATGGCATATTTAAACACCAAATACCTCTGATGATCAAGAATGGCCATTCCATCTCTCTGGGGTGGTATGAAAGAAGACACAAATCACTACATTTCTCTACACCTTAAATGTAGAGAAATGCCATCTTCATTATGGCATCTCAGGGTGGAAACACAAAGGCAAAGGAGTACATGATTGTCACCTAGAAAGACCTGAAGAGAATATAAAAGGAAAATACAAAACCCATATTCAAAGCTCCTTGATCCTGAAAGACATGTATTTAGAACAAAAAATTTTAGCACCCAATGGGTAGCAGCAAGCTGAAAGGAATCAGTATGCTGAGGGAATGCTGAATGCAGTTTTAAAAGCTTCAAAATGTCTAATTTGTAGGAGGCAAAGCTATGTCCACTGTTCCAAGGTAACTAGCTAAAATAGCCCATGTTTCCTCAAAGTATTCTGAATAAATTGCTAGCCCTGCCTTCAAGGAACAAATATTTTGGTTGATGGAGGAAGATATATATATATATACAAAGTTATCTACAAGTAAATGTTAAGTGTGATTATATGTGCTCCTATAATTTTAAAGCAGCCCAAAGGGAGGATGAGGTGAAATCTAAGCCCAAATGAAGACTACTTCTTGGAGAAAGTAAATTCAAACGAGCCATGGTTGATGGCTTCTTAATGGACTGGAGAGTGCTAAGATTACAGGTGAGAATAGTAAAGCTACCCATTGTTGATGACTACAGGCCATCTCTTATTGCATCACATATCTGTGAAAAGCTGCACCAAAGTAAAATATGCAAGTCAAATAATGGATTAACACATATAAAGGTGCTATAAAACATAAATCCCACGATACCATACCTCTTAGATAATATTCAGTGATATGTTTCCTGCCTCTTGCCATGTTTTTTAATTTTGCTCTTTTCCATTATAATTTCACACAATTAACTAGCTGAGGTCCAAAGAGGGCCTGGTAGAAACTGCAAATTCACCACTGTCAATTCACTTATGTCCTACATTGCCTCAATTGTCTTGAGACCTCTGCTTTTCATCATAGCTTGATTTTTCCAGTTTTTAAAATAAGAGAACTAAGGGAAATGCAGTGCCTTTTTAGAGTGATGGCATAAACCCTGATGGAGACATGGAATATCGGTCAATGTACAATAGCTCTGACATGTTAGTTGCTACACAAAAGTCCAAATTTAACATATAAAAGACACGTTAGTGTAGTCAACATGTCTTGTGTCTTCTGTTACTTAAAAGACAAAGATGTGCTATAAACCATCAGGCCCAAAGGCATGGAGATTAGACGGAGCATATCATGGGGCACTGAATATATCTTCCTAATGACGATGGGGGAACATTTATTGGACAGTGTGACAAGTCTAATGGACAACTCAAAGTCTCTGTAATCAAGCTGCCCTGAAACTACAGTAAGTTTGTCAGTATCACAAACGTGGTTCTAAAGGCAGTTTGCTGATGATCAAGGAAAAGACTCACATTTTGATTCCGGGCTTACTTCTCACCTCTCTGATGGAACAATTCCAGGGGTGGCACATTTCTGACACTCGGTCCTTTCTCTCCTTCTCTCCTGCCTGTAGCTCCTATCATACTTAGACATGGTCTCCAAGAGGAAACTTTAACTTTTTCCAATCAACTACTAGACTTACAATTTTTTCTCCTTGTTTTTTCACTCCTTACAAGTATCATGAAAGGAATTCCCAGAGTTTCCTTCATCAATCCTAAAACCACTAGATTTGTCTCTGTAGAAGAGAACCTTAAAGATTTGCTCAATTTGTAATACAAAAAATTACTCCTAAAGAGAAACATCTTCCAGAGTGGATTAAAATAATAAAAAACTCAAAAACCAAAACAATTGGTTTTCATGATACAAACATAAGGACTGCTTCAATTGGTCTCAATTCTGCTTAAAATAATCCCTAGGCATGAAAATATAGGTATTGTTCTCTATATTTAGCAGAAAGGTAAGAAAATGAATTCAATACATTTGTAGTTGCAAGTTTTCTAAATAAGGGAAAATCATGCACAGGGACTAGGGTAGAGTAAAAATAGAAACCTAGGCTGGTAACTATATGCCATAAGGGGAGAAAAACATCACTGTTTTTTTTTCCCCCTTCCAGTACACAAATCATCTACTTGCTGGTTTGCAAATAAAAAAATATAGTAATTCCTCCCTCAGCCTCCCACAGAATCTTAGAAATTTGAAGCCAATTATTTTTAAATGTATATTTCTTTGCCGACTGCCCTAATATTCCACTTACTCACCGATGTTCTGTTTGTCCTCAAAATCTCCCCTCTACTTTTTGTTTTTTTGCTCCTATTAATGTCATGAAATGATCTCTATCAACTCCGTAAAAAAACTGTCATGCATCCACCACACTCCCTCTTGGAATGTGTATGTTTCAGTCTTGTAAATTTCATACTGACAATCCCATGCAGGTGACAAAAGGGTTCTTATGTCAACGTTTACTAGAAATGTATTTTCAGACACCATAATATCATCATAAACGAATAAAGCACATAAATCATTCATCAGACACCAGTGTGCAGAGAATAGTAATAGGCCCTTCATGAAATATTTCATGTACAAACTCTGAAAATGCTCTTACATGGGCAAGTTACCTCACCTTTCCAAGTCTCAGTTTCCTCATCTGTGACCTTGTGATGATAGTGTTTACTTCCTGGCCTCCTGAGAGGATGAGACAGGTAAGATGTGATGTGAAGCTCTTAACTGTGTTTGGTATACAGGGAATTCTCCTCCCTCTTCCACAGCAACATGTATCGCCTGTTGGAGAGCTGTCCTCAATCCCACACCCCTGCCTTCTTGGCACTCTGTTTTTTCATCAGCCTCTTTGCTTTTCCTGTCATTGCCAACCAGAGGTCTCCCTCCATGAAACTGTGCTTTCTGAGCCTGTGCGTAATAAAGTATTATTCTCTCAAGGTCACTGAGCAGAATCTGCGACCTTAAACTTGGATGCTGATATCTGGAAAGCAACTGACCTTTATGGAGGGTGCCCACTGAGAACACCTGACTCAAGCCATGAAATGCTGAATCATTAACAATTTAGAGCAGAAAAGAATTTAACCAAGTTAGACAACCTGTAATAGCTCTTGTGACTAGGGCCATTAAGGCCATTTTGATGTAGTTCAGATCAAACTAATGACTGTGAAGAGAAAGCACCTGAAAACAAGTAGCCTGATTCAACTTTTCTATTTCCATTTTAAACCCCATTTGGAATTTCTCTGGTGTGCCTTCCTAGGTTGACATTTTTTCCCACATCAATCCATTCTAATTAGTCAAATGGTTTTAAACCCCCAATGTCTATTAAAAAAATCCCACAAACCTCTGCACACTGACTGTCCGGAGTTTGCAAAGCAGAAGAGCTAAATTTAGATTTAAAATCTAACTCTCTCCCCTACCTTTCTTAATTACTATCAAATGCCTCTAAAAGCTAGTAAGGGAAATGTAGATGAGTGGAATAGACTTGGATTATCCAATAGGGAGTGGCAAGCACCATAGTGAAATGCAAGGCACATGCACCTCCTTTAATGGCTTTCAAATTAACAGCAACCAAAACATATTCAACGCCCTGCAGGTCTAATAATACACTTCTGCTAGACAAACTGGCCAACTATTAGTCTATAACCCCAATCTAATCCAAGACTTTGGTTTCAAAAATGAGGAAATTTAACCAGAGAACTCTAAGTGGATTGTTTCAGGCCACATTAGATGCAGGTTTGCCAGTGGGATGTCTTGACTCCTAATCCAAAGCCCCCAAATTCCTCTTCACCTTGCTCCTGGTACACTTAAGGGACATAAAGAAAAACAACACTGCAAACAAAAGTCCTTATGGAGTATCAACTATGTTCACTACTCAGTTCTAAGCACTGGGGTAGGTGAAAAAAAATCATGGTTTTGTGGCCCTTGCCATGAAGAGATTAATAATGTGTTATGTTACCTTTTCTATTAAGCTTAAACCCTCTGTCTCATACACACAGGCTTCCACAGACACTTATAGATCTCAGAGCTGCAGAGAATTACAGGGAATCATCTGGTGTACCTCACTGCCTTCAAGCATATAGAGCAGCGGTCCCCAACCTTTTTGATACGAGGGACTAGTTTTGCAGGGGATGGTTTCAGGATGATTCAAGTGCATTACATTTATTGTGCACTTTTTTTCTATTATTTTTACATTGCAATATATAATGAAATAGTTATACAATTCAGCATAATGTAGAATCAGTGGGAGCCCTGAGCTTGTTTTCCTGCAACCATACAGTCCAATCTGGGGGTGATGAGAGACAGTGACAGATCATCGGGCATTAGATTCTCATAAGGAGTGCACAACCTAGATCCCTCATGTGTGCAGTTCACAACAGGGTTTGTGCTCCTGTGAGAATCTAATGCCACCACGCTTTTGACAGGAGATGGAGCTCAGGTGGTAATGCAAGTGATGGAGAGTGGCTGTAAATACAGATGAAGCTTTGCTTGCTAGCCAGTACTGGTCTACGGTCCAGAAGTACTGCCATTTAAAAAAATGAAGCTACAGAAGCCTTGACAGAATAAGAAATGTACTGCAAGTAACAAAAAAATCCTGTCTTCTTGCTTCCTACGGTAGAGGTTTCTTCTGGAAGAGACATTTCATGTCATAAGATAGAAAATAATAACCACAATTATGTGCTAAAAAGCATGAGTACAGGCCAGGCGCAGTGGCTCACGCCTGTAATCCCAGCACTTTGGAAGGCCGAGGTGGGTGGATCATGTAGTCAGGAGTTCAAGATCAGCCTGGCCAAGATGGTGAAACTCGGTCGCTACTAAAAATACAAAAAAATTAGCTGGGTATGGTGGCAGGCGCCTGTAATCCCAGCTACTCAGGAGGCTAAAGCAGAGAATTGCTTGAACCCGGGAGGCAGAGGTTGCAGTGAGCCGAGATCGTGCCACTGCGCTACAGCCTGGGTGACAAGAGTGAGATTTCGTCTCGAAAAAAAGAAAAAAAAAAAGCAAGCGTGAATACAGACTGTTTAAGCTAAAGATACTGAAGAAGCACTCCAGTTTTTGGAAGGGTAAAGGCTAGGATAGGTTTTAGTATGTTTTGGAAAGCTCCTCAATTAAAAAATATATTGAAAATGCTGAGAAACTATGAACAAATAGTTTCTACATAAGGGCACAGATTTCACAACATTGCTGAAGGTCAAACCTAGCTCAAATAGTCATGACATTTATCCTGGCACAATGTTCATGCTGTGTCACCAAGCTTGTGCGGCACCTCCAACAACCACCTAGCTTACAACACAACCACAGTTGAAAGCAGCAGGCATAGTCATCAGCGAGGCTGAGCCACAGCTGGGCCTAATGCTAACTCCCCGTCTGGCTGTGGTTAGGACCATTCCACAGGGCTGCCACATGGAATAAGTCAGAGGGGAGCTTCCATACTGTAGGAGGGAATGGTGTAGATTGTCAACATCCCTTCAGGGTCAAAGATCTACAGCTAAATGTTGTTCCGTATGTTCCAATATGTTGCAAAACTACATGACTGATTCTAGGTTAGAATTAACACATAGATTGAGCCTTTTAAAAAAATGAATCTGAATACACTTCAAGCTTGCTTCTCTGTTTTGTGCTTTCTGCCTATTATTTTTGAATAACAATTTCCTACCCTTTCCTCTCAAGGTTTGGAAAACATATACCTCTTAAGGTTGTTGTT